>NC_000001.11:233153818-233305333 GCF_000001405.40 Homo sapiens | reverse complement strand
AACAATATAACTCCATTTTATCTCATTTCCTTTGTGCTTTTTTTTATACAAATTGTATCTTTATACATTATAAGTCCTTCAACATAGTTTTGTAATTCTTGCTTTACGATTTGTCTTTTAAAACAAATATGAGAATAAAGGAGCTATATACAAAATATTTTTATACCATAAAGAAACTTGTTCTACTACACAGAAGTCAGTTGCCCTAGAACCTTTCTTCATGTTATTATTATCATTGTTTTTGTCATTTTGGGGATGGGGAATGATATATCCATTGAATGTTTAGGTAAGTTAAAGTCCTCTTTTGTTTCTGAAGAAGTTCTTCAATTATAACTCATAATATTCCTTATATTCCATTATTTCTATTCTGTTATTCAGGAACACTAATTTGTGTAGAAGATTAAGGAAAAATAACCTAAAAATAAATGATAATAGTCACATGCAAAACACACATACAATATACACTGACCATACAAGATATGAAGGTGATCTTCACAAAATGTAATTAGGTGAAAAGCAGACCTGTCATTTGGGGGAACAAGCTTTCTGCAATATTGAATTTGCCCTGTTAAAATCCTTCCTTGCTTTGCAATACCAATAACGTATTTTATTTTACTACATTCTAAGCAGTGTTCTGGTGCCACCTAGTGCTACAAATGAGTAAAAGCCACTCTGCTTTTTCTTTTTCTCCCTTTCTCCTCTGCCCATCCTTCCTTCCTTTCCCTCCCTTTATTCATCTCATAATAACTGGCATTTTCTATTTCACATTTCACTGTCTGAATTATAATATGTGCTTAAAAGAGCCAAAAGATGTAATTTATTTTTTATGCTTACTCTTGGGTAAACACATTTGGGAAAATATCAAATTATCTTGGAGTAAAGGTTTAGTATTCTACCTATTAGGCATTTCCTCATTAACATAGTCTTTTTGTCGTCTGTATTTCCCTTCTTTGTGCTAACTGAATGAGGATTAGCCTACCTTTTCTCTGCCCCCTCCACATTCTTTCAGTTGTGTTCTGTGAGATCCTCATATCATTATAAATAATCTTTGCTTTACCTCTAACTGCTACACAAAATAATACTACCCCATGCTCATGCTCCTCTGTGCCACTTCTTCATATGTGTCCCCCATGTGCTGACACCATCCTGTCCACTGTATAATTCCACCTCTATTGGAAATGCATCACTTTATATTTCTGACCCCTTTAAAAAAGTTTTAAGAGTTTATGACTTTTAAGCTAGTAAAATTGAATAATAAAAAATAGATCATTCCAAAGAAGCCAAGAGAAAGCAAAGTGGAAAAAAGACAAACTCAAAATCGTGATATGATTAAATCCAGTACTATTACAACTGCATTAAATGTAACAGACTAAATATTCTAATTAAAGTCAAAGATTATCAGATCAAATAAAAACTGTATCCCAACTATATGCTGCTTATAAGAAACAAACATGAAGACAGAACATAAAGACACAGAAAAGTTAAAAGTAAAATGATACAAAAATATATAACCATATAAACACTAACCAGAAGAACCCTGAGGTGACTGCATTAATATCAGATAGAATAGAATTTAAATTTTAAAAATTCCTGGAGTGCAGCACACCAACATGGCACACGTATACATATGTAACTAACCTGCACGTTGTGCACACGTACCCTAAAACTTAAAGTATAATAAAAAAAAATTCCTGGAGATATTCTGCATGATTATAAAAGGTTCATTTCTTCAGAAAGATATAAAAACTTAATTTAACATAGTGTGTATATAATATGTATAAATGGCTTTATAGATATATATGTACATATATGATTTTTTGAGACAGGGTCCCACTTTTTCGCCCAAGCTGGAGTACAGTGGTGTGAACATGGCTCACTGAAGCCTTAACCTCTCCTGCTCAAAGGATCTTCCTTCCTCAGCCCACCAGGCAGCTGGGACTACAGGCACACACCACCACACCCAGCAAATTTTTGTATTTTTTTGTAAAGACAGGATTTCTCCATGTTGCCCAGGCTAGTCTCAAACTCCTGAGCTCAAACAATCTGCCTGCCTCGGCCTCCCAAAGTGCTGGGACTATATATGATTTTATAATGATCTTTGATTTCTCACTTAGTTCTGTAGAAAGTCCTCTGAACTCTAAATAATTTTAATTATTTGAAATTTATTGAGGCTTGATTTATGTTAAAGAATATGGTCCATTGTGTGTGTGTGTGTGTGCATTTGTATTTGACAAATCTTAAAAAGAATGACACCTCTGTCATTAACTGATAGAAAGGCAGACAAAAAGTCTGTAAGGATGAAAAATATTTGAGCAAATGATTAGCAGATTTAACTAGGGGACATTTACAGAATACTGCACTTTTAGAGTGCAGAAAAATCATTCTTTTTAAGCTGACACACACATTTACAAAACTAATCATATTCTTTGCCATAAATCAAGTCTGACAGTTATTAAGAGTATGTTCTCTGGAATTAAATGAGGATATAGATTATTAGGAAGTGCTCATATATGTCTATACATACTTAGAAGCAATATACTTCGAAATAATCTATAGGTCAAAGGAATCCTAATGGAAATTAGAAAATATTCTGAATTGAATGTAGTAAAATATATTGAAATTTTGAGAATGCAACTAATGTCATACTTAGAGGAAAATGTATAGATTTAACTGTATATATATATATATGATGGAAGGAGAAGCAAAAAAATGCAGGTGAAGCATACATCTCAAGAAGATAGAAAAAGTAAAACAAATAAGGCTGAGACACAGTACAAGAGAAACATAAAGAACATAAATTGACAAAATTAAAAAAAATCATTTGATAAAGAAGATGAAAAAGCTGAAATTTTTTCTTTGAGAAGACTAAATAAAATGAGAAATTCCTAATGAATAATCATGAAAGAATGAGATGGCACAAATAACTGATTTTAAGAATGAAAAGGCACAGACCACTGTGCATAAAAATGCATAGACATTTTTATTAAATCACAAGAGGATAGTATGACAAACTTTATACCAATAAAGTCAAATGAACAAATTCCTAGAAAAAAATATATTTACCAAAAAGATAAAAGAAGTAAAAAAATCAATTAGATCTAAAATTATTAAAGATATTACATTCAAAATTTATCTCAATGCTTCATCTGATTTGGTTATTCTCTAGGCCTGCTGTTTTGTGAACTGTTGTCCTGGAGATTGTTTTTTAATTTTCTTTCTCTCTTTTCAATTGCTTGTTCTTGGCTGGGCGCAGTGGTTCACTATAATCCCAACACTTTGGGAGGCCAAGGCGGGGGCATTACCCGAGGTCAGGAGTTTGAGACCAGCCTGGCCAACATGGAAACCTCATCTCTACCAGAAAAAAATATATAAAAATTAGCCGGGGGTGGTGGTGCATGCCTGTAATCCCAGCTACTCAGGAGGCTGAGGCATGAGAATCACTTGAACCCAGGAGACAGAGATTGCAGTGAGCTGAGATTGCACCACTGCATTCTGGCTTGGGCGGCAGAGCAAGACTCTGGAAAAAAAAAAAAAAAAAGCTTGTTCCCTTGGTCCTGTGACTTTATCTTTCTTAGTATATTCTTTCCTTTTAATGAAGCATATTTTCCAGTATCTCTGAGAAAGGGTGTACAAGAGTGTAGCAGCTATCTGTGGTGCCCTCCATCACACAGATTAGGGCTACCCTCAAATATATAATTGATTTTTGGATGTTAAGCCAACCTTGAATTCCTGGGATGAATTCTACTTGGTCATAGTATGTAATCCTTTTTATATGTTGCTGGACTCAGATTGCTAATATGTTTTTAAGGATTTTTGCTTTTGTTAAGGCAGGATAATACATGGTCAAGTTTTCGTTTCCTGTCATGTCTTTATCTGCTTTGGTATCAGGGAAATACTTGCCTTATATAGTGAGTTGGCAAGCATTTTCCCTTTATTTTCAGAAAGCATTTGCATATGATAGTCACAAGCTCTGTTAATGGTCAACATTCTCTTTTACTTTCCAATTGCTTCTCTGTAATACTGGCCTGCTATTTTACTCAATGAATTCTTCCCTCAAATCTCTTGAAGAATATCAATTATAATTTTAAAGGACCTTTCTTGTTTTCTTTATGTTTTCTATTTTAGTGGGAGCCATTCTTTTAGAGTACTTAGCTTTGAACTTTTAGTTATTTCAACATTTTTCAATTTTTGATATGTTGCTTGTATAATGTTTATAAATAAGAGTCTACATATATGAGGATTAGCAGCTAGTATTACCTCTGTGAGACATTTTATAAATCTCTCTTTCACTTCTCTAGCAGGTATGACTTCTCCTACTTGCTTATACTCAGAGCCCTCTAGGGGGTTACAAAAGAGCCTTTCATCCACAATAAAGTTAGTGAGCAAGAATGGCTTGCAGTCCAGCTGTTCATGGGGGCCCATGGACTAAAAGCAAACTGGCAGATGAGGGCTTTCTCTTGAGCTACATGGTGCAAGATCACCTCTTCACTAGTCTCAGTGGGCAGGGCACACCAAGACAGAGGCTGGGGTGGATACTTTAGTCAGCTACTCCTTGTCCAGGGCTCTAGACTGCTTCACATGCTCATGAGGGTCTGCTCTTTGGCATAGCCATATCTCAATCCTCTGCTAGTACGATCATAAGGAGATCTGTGTTTACTTGGAGTTGTAATTGACAGGGGGATGTACTGAAGGAGACCTTGGGAAATCAAGCACATTAGGGGATTGTACTGCTCTGCAAAGCTACCTTACTCTACTCCAACCCCACTGTTTATGTTGTGGTGTCTTGAACACAGCTGAGTCATTGCCCTTCTCTCCCCAGGCAGAATGCCCACCCTAGGGGCTGCTAGAGTAAACACACTTTGCTTAGCAAGCAACTCCTATCAAGGGAAGCCTGGATATGTCTCTGAACACGAAGCAGTACTGTTCTAGTTCCCATATCATTTCAACATTTCCATCCCAATTATTCTCAATTGCATAATATTTCAACTTTTACATTGTTTCTCTCATCCCTAGCTAATTCAATCATGGCTAACACTGGGTGCCAGAAAATGATGTGCAAAAATTCTACATAGAACACTATGAAACGTTATTGAGCAATCTTAATAAAGGAAGGATGTATCTTGTTCATTATGGAAAGGCTCAATATTGAAAAGATGTCAGTTCTCTCAAAATTTATTGGTAAAGTCAATACAATCCCACTCCAAATCCCACCAGATTATGTGCATGTGTGTAGATATGTTGACATGCTGAGGGAATAGCATCAGCCAAGGTGTAGACTCATGAAGAAACATGCAGTATGCAAAGAAGTACAAGCACTTTGGGTTTTCAGAGATGAGTTCAGAGATGAGTTTAAAGGGATTAGGTGAGGGCAGGGCTGTAGAGGGCACTTGGACTGTTGTTGTTGTTGTTTTCTGAATGTGATGGAAAGAATCTAAGAAGGAATAATCAGGTTGGATTTTTATTTTATATAGAGCACTCTGGCCTCCCTTTCACATGCTGTGATCTGTATTATAGGTAACTACATTTTCCAGGCTTCCCTGTACTATAACTTCCAGGCGGGTTTAGCCAATGGAAGAGACAGGTAACTGACTGGAAAAGAGAAGAAACCAGAGTATTCATGTTTGCTCCTCCCTTCTGCATATTCCCGACTCAAACCCATTCCCTTTCTGTCGTACCACCTGTGGCCGCTGCAGGTCCTCAAGGCTTCAGCTCTTTCCAGACTGCCCTGCCATGGATCTATCTCTTGCCGCCAACCTCTGGCTTGTGGCTTCTAACAATACTACTTGTTCCCACTGTTCTTCCAGTCCTAGGAGTGGTAGGTGCATATTCTGCTTTGTCTGATCCCTTGTTTGCTTTTTCAGCTTTCTCATTTCCTGTGTAAACTTATGTATGCTTTGAAAGCTAGAGTTGCTCCTTTCTTCCCTTCATTGATATAGAAGGTTTAGTTGGAGATACAAAAATTAGTTAGGAAGCCACTTTGATAGTTCGAGAGAAATTCTGAGGATGACTTGAAGTCATGGCAACAGGGATAGAGCAAACATATGTAGTTAATTATCATTTGGAAATAAAATCGATAAGACATGGTCACTGACTGGATATGGTAGTGAGAGAGAGGAGGATGAGAGGAGGAGGAATTTAGGTTTCCTCCTGGTTCTAAGTGACTGGGTGGATTGTGGTTTCATCGGCTGAGATCAAAATACAAAAGGCACAATGGAAGGAATTGCAGTAAGAGAGAAGACAGAGAGTTCACATTTGAACATGCTGAGGGCCTATGGGCAGAAGGGCACCCAACTGGATTTAAATCGAAATTCAGGAAAAAGTTAGGGCTGAAGATAAAGACTTTAGAGTCTCCAACATATGCATTACAGTGAAAGCTATAATGATGCCAGGAAACAAGTAGTCAAGAAGAAGCATACTTAGTTTTTTGTTTGTTTGTTTGTTTGTTTGTTTTTGAGATGCAGTCTCGCTCTGTCACCCAGGCTGGAGTGCAGTGGCATGATCCTGGCTCACTGCAACCTCTGCCTCCCAGGTTCAAGCGATTCTCAGCCTCCCTAGTAGCTGGGACTACAGGTGCACACCACCACACCCGGCTCATTTTTGTATTTTTAGTAGAGATGGGGTTTCATCATGTTGGCCAGGCTGGTCTCGAACTCCTGACCTCAGGTGATCCACCCGCCTCGGCCTCCCAAAGTGCTGGGATTACAGGCGTGAACCACCATGACTGGCCAGCATACTTAGGTTTTAATATTAAAAGCCAATCAGTCAAAACAAACACTTTCTTGACCATTGCACCTGCATTTAGATCACGCTCACCTCCATGGCCAGGCTCCTCTAAGGAGCAGCTGACTTTGCCTCCCTCTACTTTTGCATTCACTACACATTCAATCTTTTGTAATACAACACAATTAGGCACCTGCCCACTTTATCATCTTTAATCCTCAAAATGGCTGAGGCTATGTCACATTAGGTCACTCCTAATGGCTGTGTCCTAATAACAACCTTTGTACTTGGCCTCTTCTATGGCACTTGACACTATTAATCACGTCCTTCTTGAATTGTTCTTTCCCCATTTATTTGCTAATTTCAGATTCACCTTATTTTCCTCCTTTCCTCCCTCTTTTGTCCTGCTTGTGTGTTTAATCCTTGTAATTCACAGCCCTCTTGGCTTCATTTTTTTCTGGGACATTATCATCCCGTTTTATGGGACTATCTGCTGATCTCTCTCAAGTATAAATCCTATTTCAGAAACCTCCCCTAAGCTTCAGAAACATTCTCTCCCTGATGGCTTGCAAAGTCCCTCAGCAACTCAAATTCAGTGTAGTCATCTTTCACTGCTAATCTTCCTATATCTTATAAATGGATTAGTTTTACAGTATAGTCATCTCAACCCAAAATGGAAAATCATTACATTCCTTATCCCTTTATCTCCACATTGAATTGATCTCTAAGCCTTAAGATCATATATGATCCCTCAACATTTTGTCCCTTCCTGCTGGTTCAGGTGTTCAGCATTTGCCCCTGTACTATCGATCATGTCACATGCATGCTTCAGCCTTCCAGTTCTTGTCCATTGCCTAGGATAAGATCTGAAGAACTTTGTATGGCCCAGGAGACTGACCTTTGCTTATCTCATTAAGTTTCCTACTGTTCCGTTTCTCCCATTCCCAGCCCTACCTTCCAGACATGTTAGACTATCCTGACATTTTCCCCAAATTGCCATGCTCCTCTTTCCACATATACATGTGCCTGGAGAACTATTCCCACTTACATGCCTTGAGAGCTAATATTTAGCTTTAAGACCCAGTTCCCTGGTGCTTATTGACACCACCCCTCCCTCACAGACTTACACATGTCTTCTGCACTCCACAGTGCCCCAGTGCTTCCATATATCTGGATATGTGTCCATTTCTACAATATGATAACAGGCAGCACATTTTATTGCAAGTCTTTGATTTTCCTGCCTCCTCTTGTGGTTTATTAACTCCTTCATGGTAGGGACTATATTTGACTTACATTTGCTTTCTTAGTCTTCTGCAAAATGCTTGACACCCAGAAGGTGTTGAGTAAATATTTGATGAATCAGGACAAGTGAACAAGGACACAACCTCCATGTGGGAACAGACTGTTGCATGACCTTTCCTCCTATACCCATGCACGTGACGGCGCTCCTTTAATGTGGAGTTGATTGGTTGATTAACCCATTAAACACTTATACAGCACCTGGTAGGTTACAAGCATTTTGAGCAGATATACAAAAAAGCCCATTTGTTTACAAGCTGTGTCTTTAAGAAAATTACTCTTCCAGTACAGAAAGCAGCCATATTCCATTTTGATGATTCATTCCTACTGATGAATGTAAAGTAGAAGGAAGAGTGGTTATAGCTGATGGCAGACACACCATAGTGAGGCTTTTGCTGTAACTCAGTGGCCTTTCATGTCCTGGGCCCTCTCCTCATGATGGGCCTGTCCTTATCTTCGTTTCAGCCTGGGAAGGCTGGTGTGCCTTTACTGGGCCTGACTAGGGCAGCCATAAGTAAGTGCTGCTGCAGACCAGAACATGGCCAGGACACAGGCAGGCACACAAGTCAGAGGAGTGTGATGTGTTGGGACAGACCAGGTAAGGATGATGCAGGGAAGGCGTGTTGGGAATCATGGAGCCCTCTAATCTTTGTCTCTCCCTAAGGCTCTAGCTCACACAGGGCTTCTGCTCCTCATCCCAAAGGAAGACAAGCTCCTTTTTATCTCTTCCCTTTCCAAAACCCACTCTCAAAAGAGAATCTAAACTGTATCCACTGTAAATGATAAAATATATAATAGCTTAAAGATTATTAATTTTTTGTCCAGTGGGTCTTCCTGTCTAAACAGCATAGAGAGATTTAGACTAATGTTCTATATAGCCAGTTAAATACCTGGGATTATGTTCTAGGAAAGAGATAAAAAACTAAGGCTAACTGAAGCTCCTAAAATTTTATCAGGAAGGTGGTTATCTTCTTTCTCCACCAAGTTGGACAACAGGGAGTGGAGGAGAAACAGTCAGGGAGGACAGAAGATCAGTGGCAGAGGACCAGGTAGAGCTTAGATTAATAGAACGTCTGGGGTCAGCCCTTAATTAAGGAGAATGAAGTCGTGCAGGAAGTGCTCAGGAGAAGAAATTACTTTGAGTGCTGTGTGACAGGACCTTGTATGAGGTAAATACTTGGGTGCAAAAAAGGACAAGGACAAGGAACGTGTCCTGGGTCTGTGCCTTCTGCATGAGAACACCCTTGCACGTCCCCTAACAGGAGGATCAGAGAGAAGGGGAAGGGAAGAGGGGAGAGGCAAAAAAAAAAAAGAAAGAAAGAAAGAAAAAAAGAGCGAGAAAGAAAGAGAGAGAGAGAGAGAAAGGAAGGAAGGAAGGAAGAAAGAGAGAGAGAGGGAGGGAGGAGGAAGGAAAAAGAGAGAGAGAAAGAAAGAGAGAAAAAGAGAAAGAGAGAAAGAAAAGGCTGGAGGCACTCACAGAAATCCTTCTGGCCCCCAGCGAAGGCTAAGGAGGGACTGGGCGGGCGTTGGGAGGAGCCTCGGAAGCAACCTCTGAGCAGCCGCCTCTGAGCACGATGGGAAAATCCTTCCTCCCTCGGACATGGCGCTCACCTGCCCGGCCGCAGCAGCCGGCTCCGGCGCCGCGGTTCGCGGGTCCGGGCGGAAGAGCAGCTCCAGCTTCAAACGTGGGGTGGAAGGAGGCGGCGGGGGCGACGGCGGCGGCGACGGCGGGGGCGCGGCCCGCGGGCCCGGGTGTTAGACCTGAGGGAGCCTGGAGATCCGGCCGGGGCGCGCAGGGTGCAGCGGGGCGCTCACCAGCCCCGGGGCGCAGCCGGCATGGTGTCCCAGGTGCTGCAGCTGCTCCGGCAGGGCGTGTGGGCCGCGCTCACCGGGGGCTGGTACCACGACCCGGAGCAGAGCAAGTTCACCAACAGCTGCCACCTCTACCTGTGGCTGTTCCTCCTGCTGCTGCCCCTGGCCCTGCACCTGGTGAGTGGGGAGGGTCCGGTCCCGGGGAGCTGTGGGTATGGAGGGAAGAAGGAGAAAGGAACCACAGACGTGCCATCAGCCTCACGGGCTTTCGGGTTCGTAGAGATTCTTAAGAGACGGAAAGGGAGGGGCTTCAGAAATTTGGGACAGAGAACATGCAGGGAAAGGGGACTGTGAGGATTCACTGGAAAAGAAAAGAAGTAGACAGGACTGCGGGGGCTCGGGGACTCATTAAGAATTGATGCCGGATGTTAGGATGAGTCACTCTGCTTGTGGCAGGGAGCGTGCAGCCTGTTTTGTAGGTGGGTAACTCTAGGCCTTAGAGCTGGGTAGCTTGGGATAATGTTTGGTGTGAAATGCTGTAGATTGTAGCCAAGAGGAAAAACGAAATGTAAAAAGCAGACTCATTTCAGTTATTGTCCCCTTTTTCCCCCCTCACCTTCTTTCTTGTTTTGCTTTGAGAAGGCAGTTCAGTTATCAGTTACTCACATTGTAATTTCTACACCACTATGTATAGAAATCTGTAGGAAGATATAATAATGGATAAATCTAATGTACTTTATGCTAAACAAAGTATTACAACATTTAGATGGGGCTTGACATTTTAGTGGGGTTATGGTAAGTGAGTGCTTGCTGAAGAACTACATAGATGGCCTTCTTAGGTAAATTATACGTAATTAAAACAATGGTTTACCTGCTTTGAAAAGCTGTACAGGTAAGGTGTTCCATGTCTTATTAAACTTTACGTGCCAAGAATCTAATTTTGGTATGTCGGTTGGAGGACTTTATTCCTAACACATTATTTGATCATTTTTTTTACAGCAAAAATCGTCAATGAGTTTGCATGACTGATGGATTCCGAGTTTGACATTTGTGATTGGGTTTCTCTTTACTCTTTTTCCGGCAGTGTATCCAAAGGGTCAGAACTCTGGGTGTGAAGTCATGATGCCTAGGTTAAATTTTGGGTCTACTGGTTACCAGTTCTGTGACCTTGGGGAGGTTATTTACCATATCTCATTTTTCATTTTCTTATCTGTAAAATGAGAAAAAGTAATAGTACCAGATTTACAGATTGTTTTAGGGATTAAATGAGATAGTACATATAAAGCCACAGGTCTGTCTTGACCTGAGATTGGACTCAGGCCTTGGGTTTACAATTCTGTTCTGCTACTTATTAGCTGTTTGGTCTGATACTGAACTTTTCTAAAACTTAGCATTCATATCATTAAAACGGATGTGATCATCACAATCACCACTTCACAGAAAAATTAACCAAAATTATATATAAAAAGCATTAAATACAGAAACTGCTTGGAAACCCTGCAATAAATGCAAGTTTATTTCTTCTTTCTGATTCTCCGCACCATTTTTCTTAACCCATTTTTCCTTAGCCTATGGGCCCCAGTGGTTTCTCTTTTCCTAGAGGGACAGCATAGCAAAGTCATGAGGAGCACAGCCCTCACCAGGGTGAAATCCTGGTTCTGCTGCTCACTAGACCTAATATGAGCTTGAGCAAGCTTCACCTTCCTTGTTTGTAAAGCAGGGATAATTACAGTACCTCCCTTATAGGGTGAATATGAGAACTGAGTGAATTAATAGATGAAAGTACTTCTTAGTACCTGTCACACAGAGAGTGCTCAGTAAGAGATAGCCCTTTTTAATCCTTCCCCATCTTCTAAAATCTCTCCATCCTTATGTTTTCTGATTTAGCTAGAATTAATTTCTCTTCTCCCTTGCCCTTATACCATTCTGTATTTACTATTAGTTTTACAGCATTCTGTAGTTAGACTATTAGCATTAATAGTACTTTTCGAATTCTGTCTGGTACTTAGTTGTTGGAACATGTATTTCACTTCTATGTCTAGATCATAAGCTTTTTTGAGGGCATGGATTTTTATGTTGTTTATTCATCTTGGTTTTTCCTTGTACATAGCAGAGTGCTCTGCATTTGGTAACACTGATCTCATATATAATTAACTTGTGTGTCTCTTTCTTTTCCAACTAGCATTAAATAGTCTACCTCACTATACTTTTTGAATATTTCCTAAGAATAAAAGCAATATATTTTCCACCTATAATTCCACTCCTCAGAAACCACCACATTCGCATTTAATGTTGTGTTCCTGCAGATGTTTTTTCCTATGCATATGGGCTCATTTTTATAAAACTCTACTTAAGATTTGATGTCTACGTATGGTCAGAACCCTTAATTTCTACCTAACTATGCTTTATTGAGTAGCTTGATTTAGATCTTGTGTTTGTGAGTAGGAAATTGTCCTTCATTAATTTGCTTTTTGATGATATTTAAATGTAATTTTCAGCTAAATCTCAAAATTTTAGAAAGTAAAGTCTGAGACCTTAAATAATTTTGCTTTTATATCAGACTTTAAAAAAAAACAGATATGCCCAAATTGTTATATCTCTATGCCAGCATGCCTTTAACTATTATAGAATAATTGTATGTGGGTACAGTTACTGTTATGCTACTTTTTAATATATAGCCTGCGTTATTAAAAACATGACAGGTTATTTTTTTCTTGCTTTGGTCTTCTGGTTTCTGAAAGTGCCCTTGAAATAAAAGGCCCTCTTCCCCAAATGGAGGCTTTGTTCTTCAGATCTTCGTGCTTAAATATATTCCTCTGCACTTCAGTGTTGCCTGTGATTGTTAATGTCTTTTTCAATTTGTTCATTTACAATCATTTGTTCCAAGAAGATACCTGACTGCTTACTGACAGCAGGGGCTTAGTCAAAGTTCTGTGAACTTTTCTGTTTTCTTTTTGTTTACAATTTTAGTTTAAACATGTTTAAGAAAGTTTTGGTTGGGTGTGGTGGCTCATGCCTGTAATCCCAGCACTTTGGGAGGCCAAGTTGGGTGGATCCCTTGAGATTAGGAGCACAAGACCAGCTTGGCTAACATAGTGAAATCCTGTCTTTACTAAAAAGACAAAAAATTAGCTGGGCGTGGTGGTGCATGCCTGCAATCCCAGTGACTCATGAAGGCTGAGACAGGAGAATCGCTTGAATCCTGGAGGCAGAGGTTGCAGTGAGCCAAGATCACGCCACTGCACTCCAGGCTGGGTGACAGAGCAAAACTCCATCTCAAAAAAAAAAAAAAAAAAAAAAGAAAGAAAGAAAGAAAGTTTCACTATTGAAAGGATCCACTTTTTAATATAACAGATACTTTGAGTATTTTAAATATTTTTATTATTAATTATTGAGGCAAATTTATTTATAATCCCTAGAATGTACTTAGATCTGGGTGATAATGTGGAAAATAGTGATTAATTAGCATTTATAAACTATGTATATATTTGTGAGAAATGTTTGGAAATGTACAACTGAAAACAGTAAGTCAATTTGGATAACTTGGAAAGAGTATTCAGAGCAGTTTTCTTTACAGCAGGGGCATATGGGCATGATTCTGGCCTTGTGTAAGTTCTGAGAGCACTAGCCTCATGTCAAATACACAGTTCCCAACCTCCTTTTCTTTTGGACAAACTGAAAGATGGTTAGTCTTGAGAGATATTTAAATTGTCACTTATTACATGTGTTTTGTCTTTATTCTTTTGAGATGATAATTAATGGAGATTCAGAGCAGAGTGTTCTTTACAGCAGGGGCATATGGGCATGATTCTGGCCTGTGTAAGTCCTGAGAGCACTAGCCTCATGTCAAAAGACACAGTTCCCATTCTTCCTCTTTTTTTTTTTTTTTTTTTTGAGACAGAGTTTCGCTGTTGTTGCCCAGGCTGGAGTGCAATGGCGCAATCTCGGCTCACCGCAACCTCCACCTCCCGGGTTCAAGCGATTCTCCTGCCTCAGCCTCCCGAGTAGCTGGGAGTACAGGCATGCGCCACCACCCTGGCTAATTTTGTATTTTTAGTAGAGGTGGGGTTTCTCCATGTTGGTCAAGCTGGTCTTGAACTCCCGACATCAGGTGATCCGCCCGCCTTGGCCTCTCAAAGTGCTGGGATTACAGGCGTGAGCCACCATGCCTGGCTCGTTCTTCCTCTTATCAATTGTGTGGCCTTATGCAAGTCACCTTACTTCTCCAGACCTCAGTTTAATCATCTGTAAAATGGGGATAACACTTTCATTTTATAGGTTTAGCAACTGAGGTCCAGGGAGAGTCAGCTATTTGCCCACAGTCATCTATAGTCAGTGGTAAAATCCAGCATTTAGCTGAGGTCCTGTAGCATCCGAGTCTTTGGCCCTTCCAGGACATTATGCTGCCTGACATACTACATATAAGAGCACTTTGAAGGCTGTGAAACCGTGGAGCCACCTGCAGTGGAATTATGATTATGCCAGTGGCATTGTGGTCAACTCCACTGGAGAGGAAGAGTTGAGTGGTGGGAAGAATGGGTTGGAACTTTCACATCCTTCAAGACCCCATGCCGGGCAACATTAGACTTAATTTTCCAGGCCTGGCATATATGTTTGTATGGGCAGCCCTTTCCCCGCTTGTGGACAGAAAGCCTGTCTTTCGTTCTATGGCTGGAGCTTTCTGTTTCCTTTCCTTTAACTTTAGCCAGACTTGTTCTGTTTCCAGTTCTGCTTTTTAAAATTTAATCTTAGAGACCTTCTTTGATAAGACCTACATCATTTCTAATTGCTATAATTATAATTAATAGGATTATCTGTCAAGCACTAGCATAGCACTAGGCAAATAGTAAGCACCCAACACATTCTAATTGTTATTACAGCTAATTGGTGACATTTCTATGACAGTCTGCAGCCGTTTCCCATTCTGGTGTGTCATTATTTTTTCTTAGATCTCGATTCCTCTTTTTTCAATCAATGTTTTCCCAAGATTTTACTATAAAAAGTTTAAAACATACAACAAAGCTGAAATAATTTTACTGTGTGCAGCTATATACATAGCACTTTGAGTTTACCCCATGAACATTTTACTCTACTTGCTTTATCACCTTTCTATCCATTTGTCCATCCTTCTAGCGATCCCTTATTCTACTTTATTTTCTTGATGCATTTCAAAGTAAACTGCACACATCGGTCTGTTTCTTCCTACATATTTCACCTTGCATAATAAATTACAGTTTGATAGAAATTTAAATATACATTTTGAAGAAAGTTGCCATGGAGCTCTGGTTGTGGGCCCCATGCTCTAGGCATCTTGGATTATTCTACTCCTTCATACCCCTAACCCCCTAATACCCCAACCCCCTTCCTGAGGCCTAAGAAATGAAGGTCCAATTGGATATTCAGGTTTGAGAGTAGAATTTAAGGTTTTGCATTTCTTTGACCACCCTTCCTTCCTCCTTTACTTCTTTCCCCCCGCCCCCCAGGCTTCACCTAGACTTCCTCTCCTACTTTTAACATATAAGATGACTTAGTGTAAATTATGGAAAGGTAGCCTCTCCAAAGAGGCAGCCTTTCCTGGCCCATTTAATCCTGTCAGCAGGAGACCTTTGTGCAGCATGCAACCTGCGCAGCCTCGCATAGCAGGCTTGGCCCATTCCACATGATTGTTGTTATTCTCTTGAACTGCTTGGCACGTTGCCATTCTCAAAAGGTTACCTCTGTTCTAGTCAGTCCTAGCATTGTTATCCAGTTTCCTCAAAAGAAAGGCTTTCTCTGTTAATGGATCACATAGTCCATGCTTTCTTTCCTTTGACTCCCAGAACCTTGATATTTGGTCCTTCCACTTCTGGGGGCCTTATTTATTCTTGCATTGAGATGCCTGATCCTTTGCACTATCTCCATAATTTACCTGAATGTCTGGCTTCCTGCCTCCTGCCCTCACCTGCCTGAAGCAGAGTTGTATTTCAGGCGAAGAGCCTGCAGCATGGAGTTGCTTAAAAGGCATCCTTCTGCTCTTCCTAAGCCGGCGCTCGGCAAGTTCTCCCAGGAGAAGGCCATGTTCAGTACGAGCGCCAAGATCGTGAAGCCTAATGGCGAGAAGCCGGACGAGTTCGAGTCCCGCATCTCCCAGGCTCTTCTGGAGCTGGAGATGAACTTGGACCTCAAGGCTCAGCTCAGGGAGCTGAATATTATGGCAGCCAAGGAAATTGAGGTTGGTGGTGGTCAGAAAGCTATCATAATCTTTGTTCCCGTTCCTCAACTGAAATCTTTCCAGAAAATCCAAGTCCGGCTAGTATGTGAATTGGAGAAAAAGTTCAGTGGGAAGCATGTTGTCTTTATCGCTTAAAGGAGAATCCTGCCTAAGCCAACTTGGAAAAGCTGTACAAAATATAAGCAAAAGCATCCCAGGAGCCATACTCTGACAGCTGTGCACGATGCCATCCTTGAGGACTTGGTCTTCACAAGCAAAATTGTGGGCAAGAGAATCCGCGTGAAACTAGATGGCAGCCGGCTCATGAAGGTTCATTTGGACAAAGCACAGCAGAACAATGTGGAACACAAGGTTGAAACTTTTTCTGGTGTCTATAAGAAGCTCATGGGCAAGGATGTTAATTTTGAATTCCCAGAGTTTCAATTGTAAACAAAAATGACTAAATAAAAAATATATATTCACAGTAAAAAAAAAAAAAAAAAAAAAAGGGCATCTTTCCTGGGTCCTGGGCCTCCAAAAGAACTACAGACTCAGTCCCTCCAGATTTGGGCTGAATGCCATCCCATGCAGTTGTCTCTCAATTTTTGCTTCTCCGGATGGCTCTGTGGACGGCATGTGCAGAGGGCTTGCCTGTGTGGAGGGCTCTGCTTTCCTGGAGTACCTTCATTTGTTGCTGGGGCAACAGTCTTTTCAAATTGATAATTATTTTCTTGAGTCAGTTGCTCTCTTTCTGCACAGCTCCTCCCATTTATCCTTGTCTTCTGCCATTAGATACATGCATGTCGGTGGGCAGGATTTATGTCCTCAGGTTGTGTTTCTGTGTTTGTTTTTTCTTTCCATTCTGGTATTACAAGTTCATGACAAATTTTCTAGTAGTTAAACTTATGTCTCCTGCCCCACTCCCAGCTTTCTCAGGGCTTCTTGAGATTTCCCCCCATTAGTGATTGGCTGTATTTTGAATGGTTCACTCCTCAGATACATGGTATTTTTCCCAAGGGTAATGTCTAATACTTTAATACCCTATTATTTTTGTTTTAATTGAACAATCTAATTCACTTGGTGTTACTTCTTTTGTGTAGAAGCTAATACTTACTAGGTGATTGTTATTTTCTGGCTTTAATCATTTGGTCTCCTAAATGGTAAATTTTAAACATTAAATATCTTATTGCTATATCGTCTTCTCTAAATCTCCTTCCTATGTCCTCTGCAAGAAGAAAATGGACTCACTTTTAATGGTATTCAGATTTTTCCACATTTTTTGTCTAGTGCATTTTCTTCCTTTAGCATTTACAATTGTATTATGTTACTATTATTGGAATAGGTAAGAATCACAGCCAACGCTTCTGAGCACATATGAGGCAGACACTTTTTTTTTGTAAGAGCTTTGCAAGAAAGAAATCATCTCACCTTCATAGTGCCCCAGTGAGGCACCATCATTATTCCCATTTTACAGTCAATGAAACTAGCAAAGAGAGGTAGGTTAACATGCTTATGAATACATGGCTAGTCATGGCCTGACTAGGATTAAAGCCCAAGCATTGGAGTTCTTACCTGCTCAGCCATATCACTTCTAACAGGTCATTTTACAATGTGGGCATATTAGTCCATTTTCATACTGCTGTGAAGAAATACCCAAGACTGGGTAGTTTATAAAGGAAAGAGGTTTAATGGTCTCACAGTTTCACATGGCTAGGGAGGCCTCACAGTCATGGCACAAGGCAAATGAGGAGCAAAGTCACGTCTTACATGGTGGTAGACAAGAGAGCTTGTGCAGGAGAGCTCCCCTTTATAAAACCACCAGATCTCATGAGACTTATACACTATCATGAGAACAGAATAGGAAAGACCTGCCTCATGGCTCAATTACCTCCCATTGGGTCCCTGCCATGAGCTGTGGGAATTATGGGAGCTGCAGTTTAAGATGAGATTTGGGTGGGGACACAGCCAAACCATACCAATGGGTATATATTCCTTGCACATTGGCATGAAGACATACAAACACTAAAAATGTACAAAAGGACATATAATAAAAATATAACTTCCCTCTCACACTTATTTCTAGTTTCCCACTTGAGATGGAACCACTATACACAGCCTCTTGTGTTTTCTTGCAGTGGTATTTTATACACATGTGAGTGGAAGTTTGAATGTAAGGGGTCCTGAGTGTAATCATAAAGCAACTTTATTTGTCTTCCACTGTTCCTTTCAATTTGCCTTGGACAGGAGTTTTCTTCCCATATCCCAGATAAAAATATGGGTAACGCCCATGACTTCACATCACAGCTTATACAAATTTTATGATGGCTTTTAGCAACAAAATACAGACTTGATTTAGATCGCAGAATGTGCAGTTCCTTGGCATAATCAAAGCTACCATCATCCAGTCATTTCCAGGTAGGAAGGGACATGAGGATGGCACAGTCTTTCTTGCTCTCTTCCTCCCTCATGCGTTGACTGATGTTTCTGATGTCCTTGGCTTTGGAGAGCAGGAAGATTCTTTGTTGACTGTCACGGTGGTAAGGGGGCCTTGGGCTTTCAGAGCATGGCACGTGTTCCTAGTTGATTCTCTGGAGAGCTGCCTTTCCACACCCTCAGAGACTCTGTTCTCCTTGCCAGCCTTGTCTCTCTGGCGCTTGTCTTGATGAGGGCTGCTGTGTCTTTGCCCTGTCTGGTTGCATACTCTGTCCACCTCCAGCTTTCTTCTGTGCCAGTCTCCTCTGCTCCGTAGCCCATTCAGACATGATCTAAAGCAGATCTATACAGATTCTCGCGTACATAGTCCATGTCAACGTCCACATATTCCTTTCCCCACCACACTCTAGGAGGGCAGGCCAAGCTCATACCTCCATCAAAGCAGCTAGCCAGCCAGTCTCTGATCTTTCACCTTTTCTAGGAGGGAATCAGACAGCAGTCCACTGTGCCTTCTACCCCAACCCAAATGGTAGGGGGCTCATATTAGGTGCCTTCTACCCCCACCCAAATGGTAGGGGACTCATATTAGGTGCCTTCTACCCCCACCCAAATGGTAGGGGACTTATAAGTTTCTAAGTGGTCCCACTGAAGCGCTTCTCTTCTGACTGAGGAAGAGGATGGGACACAGGACTAGCTGCACACCAGCAGGCCTTTCCAAAAATCTTCATATACCCTTTTTTTCTAAATTCTATTACATCATTTTGAGTAAGGAATTTAGGATCATGTAACTCATCCTCATAATCTATCTAGAAATGTTTTTTTGTCCCAGAAATTTGCATTGGAATCTCTTATCCATCCTACCTTGGTTCCTTGGTCAACACTTTCATTAAAAATGTTATACAAATGTGTAATCATTTATGCATACATAGCCCTGTTGTCCCTCTTGATGGAACATCTTGGAGATCATGACACAAAGAGCCTCCTCATTATTCATGTCTGCATGGTATTCCAATATTTCTATAAAGGGCAACTTATTTGACTAGTCACTATTGAAGAATATTTAGGTTTTCAGATGATTTTTAACCTAATGCCATTAGTTGTATATGGATCAGTCAAGATGTGCTAGCTTATGCTGAAGTAATAACCAACCTAAACATGTGTTTGGCTTTACCAAGTTTTTTGTTTGTTTGTTTGTTTGTTTTTTTGAGATGGAGTCTCTCTCTGTTGCCCAGGCTGGAGTGCAGTGGCACGATCTCAGGTCGCTGCAACCTCTGCCTCGCAGGTTCAAGCAATTCTCCTACCTCAGCCTCCAGAGTAGCTGGGATTACAGGCATGCACCACCACGCCCGGCTAATTTTTTGTATTTTTAGTAGAGACAGGGTTTCACCATATTGGCCAGGCTGGTCTCGAACTCCTGACCTTGTGATCTGCCCACCTCAGCCTCCCAAAGTGCTGGGATAACAGGTGTGAGCCACTGAGCCTGGCCACCAAGTTTATTTTTAATTTTTAATTTTATTATTATTTCTTTTTAGAGATAGGGTTCATTGTCACTCAGGCTGGAGAACAGTGGCGTAATTGTAACTCACTGCAACCTCAAACACTTGGGCTCATATGATCCTCCCACCTCAGCCTCCTGAGTAGCTGGGACTTCAGGCATGCACCACCACATCTGGCTAATTTCTTATTTTTTGTAGAGACGGGGTCTTGCTCTGCTACCCAGGCTGGTGTCAAACTCCTGGCCTCAAGCAATCCTCTCACTTTGGCCTCCCGAAGTGTTGGGATTACAGGCGTGAACCACTGCACCCGGCCCTATTTTTTATTTATACTACATGTCCAACATGGTCCATTGGGATGTCAGGGGTATGGTTAGCAGGGGGTCCTGCTCATTATAGGTAGTTAGGAACACGGACTGTTTGAGTCTTCATTTTGGGTTGACTGGGAGCATTACTTGCTATCATCCCCCCCATGACCCTGGATGATCATACCAGTCACTATGGTTGAGGGACACTGAGTGGGTGTCATGCTGTGGCTCTGGAGGCTCCTGCTTGGAAATGGCAAATACTTCTTGCCTTCAGACTGCTTTGTCAGGGAATGTTGCATGAGCACACCTCACTTCAAAGGGGAAGGATAGTGCAATTCTACCCTGTGCCTGAGAGACTAACTGGACATGTTTGTTGGAGAGCACTTATGTCTATGACAACAGACTGAGTGCCAGATGTTCTGCTGGATATTGTGGAGGCAGCAGGAGAACAAGATGGATTGATGTCTTCTCCCATGCAGTTAACAGATAAACAGGCATGAATAACACAGTGATCATTGTTACCATAGGGGAAGTGCAGGTGCTGTACAGTAAAGATGGGAGATGGAATCTTGGCATTAGTACTTAGGGAAGGCTTCCCAGAGGAGGAAGTAACTTCTAATCTGAAGTCTGATGAATGAGTAGGAGTTAGCCAAGCAAAGGTGAATAGAGGAGGAACAGCATTTTAAGCAAGGGGAACAGCATGTATTAAAGCTGTAAGGTGTGTGAGAGTCTGACTAGTTTTGCTGTACCCTTTAAGAATATATGGGAGACATCAAGACACATGACCCCTGAAAACTTCAACAGGTGTCTCTTAAGGAAAAGAACATTCTCCCATGTAATTATCACACCCAGAAAAGTTATTCATATGATGGTATTGTCTAATATATCGTTCCTATCCAAATTTCCGTTATGCCAGCCAGTAATGTCTTAGAGAGCTGGGGTTTTTGGTTTTGTTTTTCTGTATCCAAGATTCAAACAAGGATCAAACATGGCTTTTAGTTGCCACCTATCTTGATTGTTCTTATTCTAAAATGAGTTATCTAAGCCTCTGTGTCAGTGTTGTGTCCTTGTCATCCATCATATCAGAGGGACAGAATTCTCCCACCTCTCCCCAACCCGCATCATTGGTTAAGGTAGTGTCAGCCAGATGTCCCTATTGTAAAATTACCAATTTTCCCCTTTGTGTTTAGTGAGTAATCTGTGGAGTGAAACCTGGAAACTCTTTATATTGTATTTCCAAAAGTCTTTCACCCAATAGTTATAGTATAAATTGATGATTCTGGACTAAAATAATCATTACAATGGTGGTTGCAAAATGGTAATTTTCTAATTTTCTTCCTACCTTTATTAATTGGTACTATTCTGTAAAGAAGAGTTTTTTTTTCCCCCGTCCTCATAGTTTTGTTGCACTTTTTAGTGTGGTCCCACAAATTCATTTTTTAATTCAATGGGAGTATAATCTATTCCTATCATCATTCTTTTTGATGTTCAAATGATCAAAAATTTGGCAAGTGAGACCTTTTCGTGGATATATCCATGAGTTTTCTTGGATATATCCTCATCAGTTTGTGAGCACGTTGTTGCTTTCTACCCAACAAGATATTCCTGGCTTAGCTCGTACTTTCCCTGCCCCAGCCCTGGAAGAATCAGCCATTTCACCAAGGAGCCATGATCCTTTTGGTGGGGAATTACATTTGGAAACCAAAATCTAGAGCTGCAGTAGTTGCATTTGTTGCTACTAGTTGTCTTTGCCTCTAGCCCCTTTCAGTAGACACAGCTAAAAGATTGATCAATCTATAGATTGAATGATTGAATAATCAATTAAAGTTTATTCTGAGACCTTCAATCCAATCCATATCAAAGGACTCTTTCTCTCCTTCCATTATTTCATATTTATATCTCCCTTCTCCCACAGTGAGAACTCTAGCTCACAACAATATCATTTGCTCAGTCCTAAAATATATACACGAATTACTACTCCCATAACACCACCATAGACAAATCTTTAAGGAAAAGTTCAAGACTGTTTAGAAGTTATTATTATTATTTTTTTTTTTAGAATACGCATCACCAGTAATGTACTGCCAGAGTAACATGCTCAAAAGTTACTTAGATGAATTATTTTCCAATTATTTTTTGGTTCATCTTTGTGGTTATGCTATCATTTGATATATAGTTAGGTTCACTTGTAGCTATATAATTTTAGCTTTTCCTCCGTCCTTGCTGATTTAATAATTTATACCAACATGAGGTATAAAACATTAACAGAGTTCACAAAACATATAAAAAGATATGCTGAATTACTTTATCAAAAGGTTTCTCTGAGTGCTGGATGGAAAGTAGATCAAAGAAAGGACAAAAATAGAAATGAGAGGTTCGGTGTCTATTTCAGTCACCCAGTCAAGAGATGGTGGTGGCAGTAAAGATGGAGAATCATGGATAGATTTTGATAGGATTTAATGATCAGTTCATTTTTAGGGTAGAGGCGTAAGGATGGGGGAGGAATCAAGGGAGATGCCTGATTATCTGGTTTGAACCAGAGGCGTATGAGGTGCCACTGACTGAGATGAAGGATGAAAGAGGATAGTTGGTAGGGAAACCGAACACCTAGTTTTACACATAGTAGTTTGGAGTTTCCTTTTAGATATCAAAGTGGAGATGTTGAGTAGATAGTTGGATATAGGTGTGGGGAGTTTAAAGGAACAATCTAAGCTAGGGATACAGATTTGAAAAATAATCAACATAGAGATGATATTTACCGCCAAGGGACTGGGTAACACTTCCTAAATAGAATGTGTAGAGCGGGAAATGAGTGCTAACAGTGAGGCCCCAGGAGCGCTACACTCAGAGGCAGGGCAAAGAGGAGGCGTCGGGAGACAAGGGAAGAGCAAGGAGAGCATTTCCATTGTGAGCAACTGTGTTGCTCGCTGCTGAGAAAACAGGAAATTGTGGTTATTTTTTGTTTTTAGAGACATTGACAAGAAACTTTCAGTGGTGTGTTGGGGAGCAGAAGCCAGACTGCTGTGGGTTTAAGAGGCAATGGGAGGTGAAGACAGTTCTTTCAAGCAGGGAGCAGAAAAAGGGCACACTATCTGGAGAGAGGTTTGGAGTCAAGGGGGTTTATTCCTCCCTCAAGATCAGAAGGTCCTTGAGAGTAGGGCTGTGATTTGAATCCCCATTGGTCCTTGGAATGGTGCTTTATACATAGCAGATAATCTAATCACTCTGCATTAATGGAATCTAACTCCATAAGGGAAGGCACAGTTTTGGTAGTGCATATTACAGACTGTGGTCAGACCCATTTCAGTAGACTCACCACAAGGTTGTGGCCAGAATCCAGATCTTTAAAAATGGAGCTGAAAAACAGAGACATTACTCTTGGAATTGGCTTGCCTTGAAGTTCAATTTGCCATTGCTTTCAAGATAACCTTTATTATTTATGTAGCAATTATGTATTTCCTTGTGGTACTTATATAATAAGTTAATTTTTTTCTATCATGGGAAACTTGGACTTTAAAAAATTATAGACCATTGAATCAGGCAAAAATAAATTTTACCTCATTTCTTGTTACTGACTGATATTAAGTATAGGAGGGAAATATAGAAGCTTTGGACTGTGAAGGACCTTACGCATTTCTTATTCTTATCTCTTAGTCTCTGATATAAACATTTAGATTGGATTTACTGTGTGTTTCAGTTCTTTCCCCAGATCTTTACCATCTCAGAAGAAATGCCAGATAACTAATAGCCCATTGGGATATAGTTCCCTATCAATAGACACCTCTTTCTAGGCTAGACTTGTCTTTTGTTATTTCTGTTTTCAAGACTACAATTAGATACTTAATAATCAGGGAAGAAGAAAAATTCCTGAATATAAGAAATGTCCCTGAGTAATCCCTGACACAAATATTTCACTCAGAAAACAGTTGTCTGGCTTGTTTCAGAAATACTTTTTCTTACTATATATCAACCCCTCCGACTGTGTACACAGGCAATAAAACACTTGCTGTGTTGCTCTGTTGCACTTGGCTTCTTCTTACAACAGCATATCTGAATTTATTATTCCGTAGTGTTGATGAATGATGAATAGATGATGATGATCATGATGGTGATGATCGTGAGAGATGTGAACATTTAAGTGCTTTTTATGTGCCAGTGTATTAATTATTTTATACTTATTGTCCTTAATCTTTGTAAAAATATTATTAAGAATTATTTTTCTCATTTCACAGAAGAAACAGATTTACAAAGGCTAAATAACTTCCAAAGGTTGTACAATTTGCTAAATTGAGAAAAAAAGATGTAATATAAAGTTACTATCATAAATGTTTATTTATTGACCAATATTTTTGACCAGCTGTTTGCTGGATACCAAGCTGGGTGCTGAGGGTGTAATGGAGAATAAGACAGACCTGGCCTCATCCTCATAAGACTTACCATTTTTACATGGCTCTAGGAATAAATAAGAATCAGTAGAAGAGGACCAGGCACGGTGGCTCATGCCTGTAATCCCAACACTTTGGGAGGCCTAGGCGGGTGGATCACCTGAGGTCAGGAGTTCGAGACCAGTCTGGCTAACATGGCAAAACCTCGTCTTTACTAAAAAAACAAAAATTAGCCGGGCATGGTGGCGCATGCCTATAATCCCAGCTACTCAGAAGGTTGAGGCACGAGAATCACTTGAACCCAGGAGGCAGAGGTTGCAGTGAGCTGAGAAGACCACTGCACTCCAGCCTGGGTGACAGAGTGAGACTTTGTCTCAAAAAAAAAAAAAAAAAAAGGTAATATGGAATGTGGTTTAAATAAATAACCATTCTCAAGAATTCAAAGGGATGTACGTTCAAAGTGAGTCACTGAAGCACTATTTGTTATAGCAGATGACTAGAAACAGGTATCCATTGAGAAGGAATTGGCTTAATGGATTAAGGTACGTCCTACAGTGGAGTAGTACACAGCTGTAAAAAAGGAATGAGAAAATAGACTGCTGTAGAGGGATCTCCAGATAACACTGTTAAGAGAAAAAAGCAGAAGATATATATAGACTAAAAAGGAGGGAAAGATGAAGCATACCTGCAATTAATTCTGTTTCAAAAAGACACATTCAAAAGATAAAACGTTAATAAGAACATAGTTACCTATAGAAGGAGGTAAAGAACAGGTGAAGGCAGTAGGACTGGAAATGAGGAATGAACCTTGATAGATTGATGGCATAACCAAACAAAATCTGTTTCATATGACTTTAATGACTTTCTAGGCCTCCTGATACAACATAAAGGCAAAAGAGCCACAAAGACATCTTAAATTGCATTCAGTAAGCTTATTAATAAGATTTGATACATATTTTGAAATTATTATATATGTAGTACAGGGTAAAGAAAATAATAAATCATGTTATAATATTTAGGAATAAGGATTTCAGCAATAAAAGAAAACAAACAAATACAAAATCAAAGGACTCACATAGAACCTTGTAATCTTTAAAATTATAAATATCAGCCTAGGGTGGTGGCTCACACCTGTAATCCCAGAATTTTGGGAGGCTGAGGCAGGCAGATTGCTTGAGCCTAGGAGTTCAAATCCAGCCTGAACAACATAGTGAAACTCTGTCTCTACAATAAAATATATATATATACACACACATATATATAAATATTTTACACACACACACACACACACACACACACACACAAACACAAATTAGCTGTGTATGGTGGCACATGCCTGTAATCCCGGCTACTTGGGAGGCTGAGGTGGATCACTTGAGCCCGGGAGGTCGAGGCTGCAGTGAGCTATGATCATGCCACTGCACTCCAGCCTGGGCAACAGAGTGAGACCTTGTCTCAAACAAACAAACAAAAAGAGCAATGTCATTCTGAAATCATGACTTATTTATTTCTTAAAAAAATTTATTTTTGAGCTCTACTGAAAAACCTAGAATCAGTGATAACCCAATGAGAATAGACAGATCTAGAACTCAGATTTTAGTCTCTGAATTCCATTTTCTTTTAAAAGAAACTAGAGCTCTTTGGAAAAAACGGTTTATTCCAGGTCTGGGCAAGAAAATGAACAAGAGGAGTCTTTAAAGAAGAATTATTGAAGAATACTAGGGTCATATTAAAAAGATAGCAGAGTAAGATTATAGATGCTGGCCAAGTATGTTCAATTTGAGCCCCAGTGAGATCATCATACAATGATATGCATTTAGGAGTGGGGTGCATCCTACAGAAAGGGGAGAAATGATACTGTAAAGAGGAAGCTAAAACTGGATGCCAGAGGGCTCATCTCTGCCACCCAGAGTAGATGGTATGTTAGCAACAAGACTTGCTCACAGGCCTCCAACCAGATTGTGGTGGGCTCTGGCATGGGACAGAGTGGAGGGCAAGTGTCTCCAGCTATGAAGAACTGCAGAATCAGAGCTGACACTGAGGAAGAGACATGCGATCTGACTCCTGTCCCTTGCTCATCAGAAAACCTTTCTAGAAATCTCCACTCCCCTGTACAGAAATGCCCATTCCCATCAGCAGGCATAATTCTCAAGACATTTCCTCCCTCTGACCCATGAGATTAGGGCTTGTGACCCCCTTTCCATCATGGTGATAAAACACCTCAGGAGGCGCTTGTCCCATTGACATGATGTCACTGCTGCAGGATCCTCTCTCTCCTCCAGCATTTTACATCTCAAGAGTCCCCAGAGAGGCCTATCAAGCAGCAGCCCAGATTGGGGGCCCTGATGCCTTGCTGTGAGTCAGCATCTTCTCTGCAGACTTGCCCTCCTCTTGGCTCTGTTGGCTCCTGAGGCAGGCACAGTTTGCCCTTGCCACTGTTTGTGGACCTTGAAAATAGGTGTGTGGGAGGCCAGGGCTTAACATGCTTGCTGCAGCCAAGAAAGGGCCCAGTGTTGACTGCGTGTCAGGTACTGTGTGCACACAAAGAGTAGACACAAAGAGTAGACTCGGGGAGTTTATAATTACTTGAAATAGAGTCCATAAAAGTGTGATAACTGTCTATGAGTGGTGCAGATAATAGCTGATTTGGACATCAGAGTGCTTAACACATAGTTTACACTGAACCCTTTACTAATTAATCAATAAAGAATGATAAACATAATCAGTAATGTTGAAAATAAGTTTGTATCCAGGCTTTCCTCATCTTTCAGTAGTCATTCATTGCTTCTTGGTGTTCTTTGCTTGGTTCCATTTCCCCTTTTCCCTTAAATATGGGTCTTCTCTTCAAGTCTGTCTCTATATTTCATCATCTCCTTTCTCCTGTGGAGAGTCAAGGCACCGTGTTGACTTCGCCTGTTGCATCTGTGCTAATGATCGGTGCCCTCCTCCACACTCCCCTCCATGTCTTATGCAATTTCTGCATCACAGTTGAAGCCAGGGACCTCTGGAGCCTCCAACAGCAGCCCCCGTTCTTTGGTTTTCTCCACCTGCTCTAATTGGACTGCCTTGACGCCAAGATAGGACAGCTTACCTGAGTGAGCCCTTCAGTTGTGTGCCCCTCTGTAGTGTTTAAATACTACTTTACCGATGTTAATCTGATCTCCCCATTTAGGTGTTTACTCCCTTAGGCCATGTTGGTTTGTGGCCCTGCCCATGGTAGAGGACAGCAAGCCCACTTCTGTGATGCAATGACCAAGAACCCTGGAAGCTCAAGGGGTCTTGACAATGAAAAGCTTTGAAACTAGCATAAGAAGTGCTGGAGAAAATTAATTGTAGGTATTTTGATAGGGCAGTGATGTGATTAAAATGGCGCTTGAGAGACACTATCTTGAAAGCTGTAGAGCAGAGGAGAGGAGACTGGCTAGCAGGCCACGCCAGGCCTCCCAGCAGGGATTGAAGGAGGACCTCAAGGGCTCAGCGGTGTGTCATCTGACAGTCCCACCTTCCCAGACTTATCCCACTCCTTTCTTCTTTTCTGCCCTCCCACCCAGGCAGTCAGCTGCACAGGCTTTCTTTGTGTCTCTAATGCTGATTTGTATCCTTTGCACACTTTGGCCCATTGTCTGGAATCTCCATGCTCACCTTTCTGAGTTAACTCCAGTTCACCTTCACTGCTCAAGTTCAATACCAGTTCCTTGAAGGATTATTCCCTGACACTCTAGTCTAGGTTAGGTTCCCTTGCTGGGCAAAAATAAATTACTTTTAAAATTAGTTGTCACTAGTGTGTGCTATATTGGAAGCTACTTGAAGACAAATGTTTGCCTGTTGCAGTCACAGTTCTACCCCAAAGTGCCATGCACGGTGCCTGGCACAGAATATGGAACAGTACTTGCTGAGCACCTGAAAGGCTAAATGAACGTGGAGCTTGATCATCTTTAGGATCCAGCTAACAACGTGGGACTTCTGCTTTGTAGCTTACTCTGGGCAGTGAACACGTTGCATGGATGAAATTTGAACTTGAGAGATATTCTAGAAGGGAAATCGCGAGCTCTCTGAGGAACTGGTTCTGCTTATTTCTTAACCTCTGTATTCAAACAGCAGGACCCAGTGTGGTGATTTGGTTGTTCATATTTCTCAGTTGAAAAATGTCATGCGTAATCCAAAGTGTTATAAAATAATAATTACTTTAAGAATTGTGATAAGATGTATATAACATAGAATGTCCCATCATAACCACCTTTAAGTGTACAGTTGAGCAACATTAAGTACATTCACATTGTTGTACAACCATCACTATGTTTCATCTCTAGAACATTTTTATCTTCCCAAACTGAAATTCCATTCCCGTTAGACAATAACTCCCCATTTCTCTCTCCCCCAAGCCCCCGGCAACCACCATTCTACTTTTTGTCTCTATGAGTTTGAATACTCTAGTTACCTCATATAAGTGGAACCATGCAGAATTTGCTTGTTCGTGATTGCCTTATTTGACTTAATATAACATCCTCAAGGTTCATTCATGTTGTAGCATGTATCAGGATTTCCCTCCTTTTCAAGAGTGGATAATATTCCATAGTATGTATAGACCACATTTTGTTTATTCAAAGATTTGTTGAAGGACATTAGAGTTGTTTCCACCCCTTGTCTATTTTTTCTTTTTTTTTTGGAGACAGTCTCGCTCAGTCATCAGGCTGGAGTGCAGTGACACGACCTGGGCTCACTGCAACCTCTGCCTCCCTGGTTCCAAGCGATTCTCCTGCCTCAGCCTTCTGATTAGCTGGGATTACAGGCACACACCACCATGCCCAGATAATTTTTCTATTTTTAGTAGAGACGGGGTTTCACCATGTTGGCCAGGATGGTCTCGATCTCCTGACCTCGTGATCCGCCCACCTCGGCCTCACAAAGTGCTGGGATTACAGGCGTGAGCCACTGAGCCCAGCCTCACCCCTTGTCTATTATAAATAATGCTGCTATGTACATGGGGGTACAAGTATCTCTTTGAGACCATGCTTTCATTTCTTTTGCATGTATACCCAAAAGTGGAATTGCCAGATCCTATGTTAATTCTATTAATTTTTTGAAGAAGTCCCACACTGTTTTGTGTAAATACTTTTTAAAATAACAATATATCAACTTAACATGTGTTACTTCCTTTCAGTATCACCTTATAAGAGTATTCATTTATTCCAGCTGGGTGCAGTGGCTCACGCCTGTAATCCTAGCACTTTGGGAGGCCGAGGCAGGCAGATCACTTGAGGTCAGGAGTTCGAGACCAGTCTGGCCAACATGGTGAAACCCCGTCTCTACTAAAAGCACAAAAATTATCTGGGCATGGTGGCATGCACCTGTAATCCCAGCTACCCAGGAGGCTGAAGCAGGAGAATCACTTGAACGCAGGAGGCAGAGGTTGCAGTGAGCCGAGATCTCACCACGCACTCCAGCCTGGGTGACAGATCGAGACTCCATCAAAGAGACAGTATTCATTTATTTGAACGATCTTGCCATTAATCCTAGTGGTCTCAGACCTTCCTTTTAGAAATGTTTTTGAAATTCTAACACTAGCAAAAGAGCCGTGGGAATAGTTTCTATCTGCATTTATATCACACTTTACTGTTTTTGAAGTGATTTTATAGAAAAATCAGTATATGTTTCACAGTGTGCATTCACAAATGTGATTTCATCAAACGCTGCAACAATTCCATGAAACAGATTGCCCCTTCCTCATCTCCTCATTGCTGGTTCTACTTCTGTCTCCATCTGTCCATCTACATGGATGAGTTTGTAAAATGTAGATACCAACTTTTTGCTTCTATGTTTCGCTAGCCTTCTGTGCTCTTCATCATGAAGATCAAAGTCCTAAGCCTAATGTCAAGATTTTTCATTTCTTACCACTTGCTTCTGACTTCAAATACCGCATGTCTGTGATTCCAAACTATTTGCTCTTCCTGGAAGGCCCTTTGCTTTTCTCATGCTGTTTCCTCTGCCTGGCTTTTCTCAGCATGCTTTATAGTTTTCAAATGTGTGACTTCTCTGAAATAGTTTTCTTGGTCTGCTACCCCCATTCCTCAGTCTGATTTAGGCACACCTGATTTGCTTGAATGACAGCACTTGCTACTCTACTTTGGAATTCTACTCTATACATCTACTCTCATGCTTGACTTTTGAACTTGGTATGTATAGGGACTATGTTTCTTTTGTCTCTATGCTTGGTACACTTTAATGCGTTTTTGAGCTAAGCAGTGATTTTCAACTGTGGGGAGGGTTGATTTTGCACCCCCTCTGGGACTGTCTAGAGATATTTTTGGTTGTCACCACTGGAGGGATTGCTACTACACCTAGTATGTAGAAACTAAGGATGCTATTGAATGTCCTGCAGTGCATAGCACCTACGTAGCCCCTCACAGCAAAAAACTATCTGGCCCAAGATGTCAGTAGTGTCAAGACTGGGAAGCCCTGGGCTAAAGAAGGAAGGTGACTGTTATGTAATATTAGTGGATGAAGTCCATGATTTTAGTGACCTTTGCTGCAGCATGTTAATACCCACTTGTAAATATTATATTGAAGTAGGCACACTGGTTCTAAATTGGGAGCAACAACTCCCCCCAAGGGGCATTGACAAATTTTGTTGGGACCATTTCTGGGTTTATCTCAATGACTTTATCACAATGTAATTTAAGTTAAATGTCCTAGTAGTATTAAAACAATGGGAGCCAGAGAAGCTAAACATCTTACACAATGGGAAATTATTAGGCTCAAAATGCCAAAAGAGGTCAGGCACGATGACTCACGCCTGTAATCCCAGCACTTTGGGAGGCCAAGGCAGGCAAATCACAGGGTCAGGAGTTTGAGACCAGCCTGGCCAACATGGTGAAACCCCGTCTCCACTAAAAATACAAAAAATTAGCTGGGCGTAGTGGCAGGCGCCTGTAATCCCAGGTACTCGGGAGGCTGAGGCAGGAGAATCGCTTGAACCCGAGAGGAGGAAGTTGTAGTGAGCCGAGATTGTGCCACTGCACTTCGGCCCTGGCGACAGAGTAAGATTCTATCAAAAAAAAAAAAATGCCAAAAGAGCTTCTCTTTTATTGAAAACCACTGAATGGGATGGAGCAGAAACCTATTGGACAATCCTTGGTAGTTATGGCCTTTGCAAGAATCAAACTAAACACATTTGCAGTTGGATAGAAGGAAAGAAGGATTCTGAGACATACCAACATCTGACTTCTTACTAGGTTGCTGACTAGCAGACTGGGCAAGAGAAGGAATGCAAAATCTGCAGGTGGGCATGGAGCTTGCACAGGGATCCCTTCTAGCCCAGCCTCTAAGGACCCTCCCACTTTGAGCTGTGGCCACTGCTCCTTCCATGGCTCACACAGCACTGCAGCTTCTGCTTGTTTGTTAAGCAGAATGTGTAAAGAAAAAGTTATTAATGCAACTCATTTTCATCTCACTGTTCCTTTAAAAATGATTATTACTGATTTTAATATTTTATTTTTAAATTATTATTTTTTTATATCCTCTCTAGTTTTTTTAATGATTTTTTTTTATTTCCATAGGTTTTTGGAGAACAGGTGGTGTTTGCTTACATAAGTAAGTTCTTTAGTGGTGATTTGTGAGACTTTGTTGCACCCATCACCCAAGCAGTATACACTATACCCAATTTGTTGTCTTTTATCCCTCACCCTCCTCCCACTCTTTCCCCCAAGTCCCCAGAGTCTATTGTATCATTCTTATGCCTTTGCATCCTTATATTTTAGCTCCCACTTATGAGTGAGAGCATATGGTATTTGGTTTTCCATTCCTAAGTTACTTCACTTAGAATAATGGTCTCCAATTCCATCCAGGTTGCTGTGAATGCAATTATTTCATTCCTTTTTATGGCTGAATAGTATTCCATGGTAAATATATACACCACAATTTCTTTATCCACTCATTGATTGATGGGCATTTGGGCTGGTTCCGTATTTTTGCAATTGCGAATTGTGCTGCTATAAACATGCCTGTGCAAGTATCTTTTTCATATAAGGATTTCTTTTCCTCTGGCTAGATACCCAGTAGTGGGACTGCTGGATCAAATGGTAGTTCTACTTTTAGTTCTTTAAGGAATCTCCACACTGTTTTCCATAATGGCTGTACTAGTTCACATTCCCACCAGCAGTGTAGAAGTGTTCCCTTTTCACTGCATCCCTGACAACACCTATTATTTTTTCATTTTTTGATTATGGCCATTCTTGCAGGAGTAAGGTGGCATTGCATTGTGTTTTTGATTTGCATCTCCCTGATCATTAGCGATGTTGAGCATTTTTTCATATGCTTGTTGGCCATTTGTATATCTTCTTTTGATAATTGTCTATTCATGTTCTTAGCCCATTTTTTGATGGGATCGTTTTTTTTTTTTTCTTGCTAATTGTTTGAGTTCCCTATAGATTCTGGATGTTAGTCCTTTTTGGATGTATAGATTGTGAAGATTTTCTCCGATTCTGTGGGTTGTCTGTTTACTCTGCTGATTGTTTCTTTTGCTGTTCAAAAACTTTTTTAGTTTAATTAAGTCCTACTTATTTACAATTGCTTTTGTTGCGTTTGCTTTTGGGTTCTTGGTCATGAAGTCTTTGCATAAGCCAGTGTCTAGAAGGGTTTTTCCAATGTTATCTTCAAGGATTTTTATGATTTCAGGTCTTCATTTTTTCACAGTACTTGAAAAGACAATCCTAAAATTCATATGGAACCACCAAGGAGCCCGCATAGCCAAGGCAAGACTAAGCAAAAAGAACAAATCTGGAGGCATCACATTACCTGATTTCAAACTATGCTATAAGGCCATAGTCACCAAAACAGCATGCTACTGGTATAAAAATAGGCACATAAACCAATGGAATAGAACAGAGAACCCAGAAATAAAGCCAAATACTTACAGCCAACTGATCTTCAACAAAGCAAACAAAAACATAAAGTGGGGAAAGGACACCCTATTCAACAAATGGTGCTGGGATAATTGGCAAGCCACATGTAGAAGAATGAAACTGGATCCTCATTTCTCACCTTATACAAAAATCAACTCAAGATGGATCAAAGACTTAAACCTAAGACCTGATTTTAATATTTTAACAAAATTGAATTTGAAGAATGTTGCTTAAAATTAACTGTAATATACTTCATTAAATTTGAACATTAATTGATATAGGCTTGAAAGTTCATGACACTCGTCATTTTCTATATCATTTGGGTTTGAGGGCACTTAATAAACAGAGTCAAGGAACTTGGTGGTAATGAACTCAGACATTTTAGTAGTAAGTTTTTGACTTTGTCAAGCCAAAACTATTTCCAAAATTCCTTATGAAAAATAAGTATTCAGTCTTGATTTAGATTATATATAAAATATGGTGTTGATCATGTATGGGTTATATTTTATAAACATTCATAATTTTTAATTTTCATTTTTAATTTTAAATAGCACATTTCTATTAGGAGACATGTGACATGGATTTCCAACACAACCTCAGTACAAATTTATGATTGATTTTGTCATTGCATTGAAGTTGACATAACTTTGTCTTGTATAAACTTATTGATTCATTCTGTTTATCTCAGTGTACATTAAAAATATAAGTATTATGTTAACTCTTACCATGGCCATTTAAAATGAAAACGACAACATGAGTTCAAATTTCTTGACTAAACTAAACATTCATTTACTAAGTTATCCATTCAATATTCTCTATCAGAAGAGAAGAGAGAAAGGTGCAGCTTTTTAAATAATTTTCAAAGTGAGTAAGTCTACAATGATTCTCATTTTAATGACTCTGCTGATATGGTCAAATCTAACTTTCTAACCTTTGGCTGTTTTTTTCATCTTACCATTCCCTGTAGCACCATCCTAACGGTCCAGACACTCACTTGTCACCTCTCTATCATCAATTTCTCTCATCAAAACTGCACACTAAGAAAGAGGTCCAGGAGCTCAACAAAATCAGAGCAGATTTCATAAGAAACAGACAGCAAACCCAACAAAAGTCAAATAGCAGGCCTAAGACAAAGTGTTCTATTCTACTTTTTTGTTCATCTTACTTTGCAGGATAGACGTTCACATAGAGCTAAATTTTGAGAAACTGTCAAATGTTTTGATTCCATCTACCTCATCATTTTTAAACAGGTATTTGCAAGGGGGGCCTATATCTAAGGGGAGCTGCATGGAGACCCCCTGTCCGTAACCTGTCGGGGGCAGGTTCCTGTATGTCAGGATGCATTCTGTACACATCTACGTCCAGGGGTTCTTGGCCTATATTCCTGTGATCCAAACTTCTGCTGGGCTTGTTCTAGTTTTCAACATATAATCACAAGTTCCAGATTTTCTGATAAAATACTAAATTTGTTTAGTTTATTTTTTCATAAAAGAAATGCATGAAATATGTAAGAAATATTATTTTGAATCTGAAAACTTGTAACTCCCTTCACATATATAAACGCAAAGAAATGATAGCACTTCTCTGTCATGTGCTTTTTTTTGTATACACACCTGTCCTCAATCCCTCAAGGAATTATAACTTACTTAAATAGGACCCAAGAGTCATACTTGAATGGCAGAGACAAGATACTAACATTTACCTGTGAAAGGAATGAATGAATGAATGAATGGGGATGGATGACCAGATGGACAAAGGTGCTCTCTCTTAATTTGATAAAATGGATGAGCAGAAAAGAATCTCTGTTAACTCTGAAGCAGATAAGGCAACTCATATTGCTCAGTCTGAATTCTATCTTTTTGGATGAACCTGTGGTTTTCAAATAGTTGTAGAACTTGTCAGTCTTCCAGCAGCTTGAGTAGGAGGTTCTAAAGCCCACGGATGGCATAAATAACCAGACTAAGCAGTTCCCCACAGCCAGAGGAAATGCTCTGGCATACAGCACAATCATCCCAGCACTCTCGGATGGGCATATAAATGTCAAACTTGAGTGTGAGTGTTATGTTTGGCAGATTAATGCTTCATTTATTAGGCCACATATTCTGAGTAAAAACATTTTTCAAATTATTTGAAACTTAACCTTTAAGCAGGAAAACTCAATTTACTTTAACCACATTGATGGGATAGTTTTAAATGTCCCTGCCTTCTCTGACAGTATATTGAATATCACAGACCATTTTCTTTGTAATCCTAGATATTATGCTATTGTAGTGATAGCCTCAGACATAACTGAGGTGTATTTGTGTCTCAGAAAATAATTGGAGAAGTGCCTTTGCTTTTTTATGGGTGCGTTTTCTTTTTTCTAGTTTTACTTCTCCCAAGACTTCAGCTGTCATTTATTAGGTCTTGTTACATTATTGTGCCTACTTCTGTTCATTCCTCATTTTCCCTTCTAGTTTCTGCTGTGGGCTGGGAAACTGAGTTTATTAGGCTTATTATGTGCCAGGTAAATGAATTATGCTTAGACCAAGAGCACAGAACATCTAGTGAAGCTCTGAGCAGCTCCCTTTCCAGTTAAGTTCAAGAACTTTATTCATAGACTTGGTGTCCCCATAGATAACACATCCTCTTCTGAGGCACTTAAGGGAGACAAAAGAGTCAAACATAAGGAATTCAGAAGATCACCTTTAGTGTGAATGAACTGATATTTGGGAATGTGACTGATATTAATATCTGCAGGCAAGTGGACTTCCTCACTGTGGACCCCAGAGTGATAGAGACTTACCCACTTGGTCAGGGGCACCATGCACAGCCTTGGGCCTCTTTACTTGGGGCCTGACACTGGAGGCCTTGCAGTATAGGAGCCACCCAGACACACCTTCTTGGCCCAACCAGCTCCTGAGAGAGAAGAAGGGGAGGGCATGAGAAAGACATGCCCAGTTCTGGCTCCCCAAATCACTCATCAGAAGTCACTAAGGGAGGAGGAAGTCATGGGGGTGGAGAGGCTGGCTATGTAGAGAGAATCATCCCCTCTTTTGAAACCAAGAAGTGGGGAGGAATTGTCTCCCTCTAACAGTGATGTGTTCTGACTGCCCAGGAAGGCCACACTTTTATTACTTTCTCCTGAGTCTCTGGTTCTCAGTCAGGTCATTGAAGTTGCTAGGTAGGTAACTTCCAGAAAGGAGGAGTTCTGTGAGCTCATCAACGCTGCAGCATGACCCACTTTACACCCAGCTTCTTCATGTGCAGAATGAATCTATTCATTTCCAGAAGACTTCTTCAAAATTAGCTTGTGAAAGCCGAGTGATAAAGTACCCTTATGAGGTACACATCAGTAAAGGATGAGCCCCCAAGAGTGTCCTTCTTTATGTCTGCAAACAGAAACCCTCAGCAGCGGTTGATTCTCACTGGGCATGGGCATTACTTATAGCTAATCCTCACTCAGCCAGATTTTTTATCTCTCCAGGCCATTCAAAAGATGGGAGGCAAAACCCATTGGCCTGTAGTTAAAAACCAGAGTGATGTAACACAGCACAGCTGCTATGGAAAATGGTGAGGCAGTTCCTCCAAAAATTAAACATAAACCAGGCGCGGTGGCTCAAGCCTGTAACCCCAGCACTTTAGGAGGCCAAGGCGAGTGGATCACCTGAGGTTGGGAGTTTGCTGCCAGCCTGGCCAACATGGTGAAACCTAGTCTCTACTAAAAATACAAAAATTAGCTGGGCTTGGTGGTGCGCGCCTGTAGTCCCAGCTACTCATGAGGCTGAGGCAGGAGAATTGCTTCAACTCGGGACGCAGAGATTGCAGTGAGTCAAGATTGTGCCACTGCACTCCAGCCTGAACAACAGAGCAAGACTGTCTTAAAAAAAAAACTAAACATCGAATTATCATGTGATCCAGATATTCCTCTTTTGGGGTATATACTCAAAAGAACTGAAAGCAGGGCTTCAGATATGTGTACACCCATGTTGAGAGCAGCGTTATTCACAGTAGCCAAAAGGTAGATGGAACCCAAATGTCCACCAATGGATGAATGAATAAACAAAATGTGTTCTAGCCATACAATGAAATATTACTCAGCCTTAAAAAAGAAGGAAATTCTGACACAGGCTACAGTGTGGATGAGCCTTAAACACATTATGCTTAGTGAAGTAAGACAGTCACAAAAGGTCATGTACTATATGATTCTAATTATATGATTTATCTAGAGTGGTCAAAATCATAGAGACAGAAAGTAGAACGGTGGTTGCCAGGGGATGGGGGGTGGGGAGAATGGGGAGTTAGTGTTTAATGGGTACAGTTTCAGTTTGGGAAGATAAAAATTCTGGAGATGGATGGTGGTGACGGTAGCACACAGGCAAGTGTAATTATCACTCCTCAGCTCTACATTTTAAAATGGTTACGATGGTAAATTTTGTATTATATATATTTTACCACAGTAAAACAAAAGTTTTTTTTTGTTTGTTTTTTGTGAGATGGAGTTTCGCTCTTGTCGCCCAGGCTAGAGTGCAATGGTGCGTGCGATCTTGGCTCATTGCAACCTCTGCCTCCCACGTTCAAGTGATTCTCCTGCCTTAGTCTCCCGAGTAGCTGGGATTTCAAGCATGCACCACCACGCCTGGCTAATTTTTGTGTTTTTAGTAGACTGGGTTTCATCACGTTGGCCAGGCTGGTCTTGAACTCCTGACCTTAGGTGATCCGCCCACCTTGGCCTCCCAAAGTGCTGGGATTACAGGTGTGAGCCACTGTGCCTGGCCACAAAAGTTTTAAAGAAAAGAGAGAAAAAAAAACAGAGTAGTGACTGTGAGGCAGCTAGAGCTATGAGCCTGAAGAAACAGACAGAGGTGGGTCCAATGGGAAGAACTGTAACTGCTTAGTTGGTAACAGTGTGTTGTTTTTCATGAAATGTTGTCATAAAACCTTGGTCAAATGAGTCATTATAATACTAGTTATATTAATAATGGGTCAGAAAACAACATAAAACTTTTCTTTGGCCAAGGATATGATGTTGAAAAATGTTGCCTCCCATTGTTAACTAGAATGTGTTAAAATGAAAAGCTCATAGAAATAAGAACTTGTAATTTCCCTTAGAACAAGAAAACGGCTATTCAAAAATATGAGTATACCTTACATCAAGGGGAAAATTTAGGAACAATTCATAACTGCTCATCTATGGCGAATCCCTTCCTAAGCCTTCTTTCTCTGCCTGCATTCACACCTCTATGGAGAGAAAATACTGGAAGCTAGAGGTCTTCTGTTTCCTGAGTATGATGATGTCTGCAGTCAAATGGCCTTGCAAGTGATTTTCAGGGATGTCCCTGGGCATGTGGAATTGGAGGAGCCTCGGAAGAGCATAATTGCATGGCGTAAGAAAGGAGTGTTTGGAGATGCTAGATTCAATTTGGAGGGTCTACTGAAGGGAGAGGTATTAATTAATTAATTAATTATGAATAAGACAGGGTCTCTCTATGTTGTCTAGGCTGGTCTTGAACTCCTGGGCTCAAGAGATCCTCCTGCCTCAGCCTTTTGAGAAGCTCGGATTACAGGCACGTGCTGCTGCACCTGGCTAGGGAGAGGTTTTTAAAGGAATTAAGAGATCAGGGAGTTTGGGGAGAAACAATGTACCATGCATAGCATGCTGTAAAACCTTTCTTCCAGAAAATTTTCAGTAAAATCTCTGTCTCCCACTATGGTCTGGTCAGGTCCATGGGCTGCAGATATGACAAAGTGCCAAGTGGTCCTTTATAGAGGATGAGGCAAGGGCCTGTTCTCACTTGGGTTGCTAGCTAGATGCTAGTACTCATGGTAACTTCAAATTCTAACTTCTTGCCCTCACTTAATTTCAGTATTACCAAGCTTACACTATAGCCTAAATTTATGAGGATAAACTGAAAAGCAATATCTCTCTGAATATTGGGGCATGCCAGTTTTTTTCTAAGTGAATTTTCCCAAGAGCCCTATACAATTTTTTATCTCTTACTCTTCTTCCCTTCCATTCTTTTCTCAGTGCCTTAGGGTTTTCTCAATTTATCTCTAATCTAATTTGAATGGAAGATTCCTCATGAAAATGGACCCCCCTGTTATTAATTAAGTATTGCTAGCTTCCACAGCGGCCACAACTCCAAATCTCAGTGGTTTAATGACTCAAAAGTTTACTACTTATTCCGTTATGGGCTCATCTTGTGTTTATAGGGGCCTTGCTCCGCAGAGTTACTCAGGTACCTAGTCTGAAAGAAACTGCATCATCTTATAGACATATCATCTGGAAAACATGTCTTCTGAGGTCACCAAGTAAAGAGGAAAAGAGTGGGATGCGGGAGGCACCTAGCTCATAATTGTCTAAGCCAGCACTTGTGCTCATTGTCCATTGGGCAAAAGTAGTCATATGGCCTCAGCCTCACTGCAAGAGAAGCTAGGAAATGAAGAGGAGAGGATGGAGTATTTAGTGATCACTAACTCTCTTTGCTACCCTTGCTGACTAGAGTACTATGAAACCCTAGTTACATGAAAATTCAACAATCTCTTGAATATAATTCCTTTTTTTTTTTTAGAGAGGGTCTCACTTGGTAGCACAGGCAGGAGGAGTACAGTGGCATGATTATAGCTCACTGTAAACTTGAACTCCTAGGCTCAAGAGGTCCTCCCACCTCAGCCTCCCCAGTAGCAAGGACTATAGGTGCATGCCACCACACCTGGCTAATTTTTAAATTTTGTAGAGATCGGAGGGGGGGTCTCACTATGTTGCCCAGGCTGCTCTTGAACTCTTGGGCTCAAGCAATCCTTCTGCCTTGGCCTCCCAAAGTGCTGAGATTACAGGCATGAGCCACTATGCCTGGCGGAATATCATTTTTATATAACAATAATCTGTTTTCACGGACATCTGCAGGTTTTCTTTTCCTTCTTACCCTCTTCAAATTAACTCTCTAGATTTAGCTTAAATTTTTGAAACCCAAAACTATTAGTAGTATTTAATTTAGTGGTATTTAAATTAGTAGTATTTTAACGTATTAGTAGTATTTAGGATGTAAATATAAGGTTTATATTTACAAATGCACCTTTTGTAAATATAAACCTTATCTGCTGCCAGGTAGTGGACCTGGCTTTATTATCTAGCTTGTATCATCTTATATAGTTATTCCGTCACTTATTTATTGCTTGCTTTATATTTATTTGTGGACTTTTCCCCCCATGACATAATAAGAGCGAGTTAAGTGATGGTGAAAATCTCTGACTTTATCTTTTACTTGTTGATCATCTTCCTCTTTCTTTTTTGTGCTCTGTTTGGCTATTCCATTTTAGGGACAGTCCAACTTGGAAGATAGACTCTTGCATGGGACCACGGCAAGCTGTACAGGGTCTGCTTAGGCATGGATATGGACTGGGCCCTGCTGTCTGCAAGCCTAGCTATGTTTAGGTTGAGGCACCAGCTACACGGATCACTGGATTTCTGATATTCTTTAGGGAAGTCCATTGATAAAATGGTCTTGCGAATCATTGAGGCTGTCCTGGATATCACCTTGGGACACTTGGGGATCTCTTTCCATCCCAAAGAATAGGAATGTAGTTTAGGAAGGACCAGAGAACGTGTGATAGTCCATGGTCCTGGAGAGAATTAGGAAGGTATATGGGAGATGCTACAGAGTGGGACAACTCCACGGGTCCCAGTGATTCTTTTCGTTTTGTTTCTTGAAGGGATTGCATAGAATTGAGCTGAACCTCACTATGGTCGCCATGCTCAGATCATTTGTCTCTGCTGGAAATATCCCTCTTCCTTTTGGAAGTAGTACCCTTTTGTGGTTCCCTGTGTGCAATACAACCCTAGGGAAATCCATGGCCTGCAGGCGTTATCGCAGTGGGAGGTTAGGGAGGGGAATGGGGGAGTGGTTACCCTAACCTTTCTCCCTTCTTTTTCCTTCTGTTCTCCACAAGGCTTTTTGTGTTTTGTTGTTGAAAACAAAATACATCTCTGGCCTTTAAGATGAGCTGCATAGGAAGATGCATTGGATTAGGCCATAGATAAGAGCTTATCAAACATGGAGGCCGGGTACAGTGGCTCACACCTTTAATCTCAGCACTTTGAGAGGTCGAAGTGGGCGGATCACCTGAGGTCAGGAGTTCGAGACCAGCCTGGCCAACATAATGAAATCCTGTCTCTATTAAAAATACAAAAATTAGCCGGGCATGGTGGTGAATGCCTGTAATCCCAGCTCCTCGGGAGGCTGAGGCAGGATAATTGTCTGAGCCCGGGAGGCGGAGGTTGCAGTGAGCCGAGATCTTGCCACTGCACTCAAGCCTGGGTGATACAGTGAGACACTGTCTCAAAAAAAAAAAAAAAAAAAAATGGAGAGGTTTCCTCGAATATATCTTTTGTTCTGTGGGGTTCCTGCCTGCAAATCAAATGTTGGTTATCAGTGCAACTACTACAGAACCTGAGAAACAAAAAAGACTTCAAAAAATAAAAAGCAGCTCTTTCTCCTCAAGTATTTTAACCAGGAAAACTTAAAAAATTAGTCTAATTTGAAATCTTGCCTAATTTATATTCAATAGATAGTCTAAAAATGCTTCCAGATTTAAAACAGAAAGAAAATCTTAAAAGCAAATGATTTTTCTCTGTCTTTTCCTTTCTTCAGGCTTTTCCTCCAAATGCGATCATTGTATTTTTCTACTGCAGTGCAGTGACTATATTCTTCACAATAATCAAACTGGTCAGTTATCGCCTACACCTCATGTTTGACAAAGGAGAAGTAATTCAGCAAAAGCCCTCCAGAAAGGAAGAAAAGCCAAATAAAGACAAGGAGGCCAAAGGTGAACACATAACTAATCACAGAAATCCAAGGTAATATTTTCAATTAATGTGACACTTCAAAATGTAAATGTTTTGCTCTTGATTAAAATAAGTTTTTTATCAGTGTTTATGAAATTACTAGTATAGGCAGACAGAAATATATGCATTTTTCTTATATTTCAGCATATACTTAAGCATAAAATTGATATTCATAATCAAGATGGTTTAACTGGCTTCCCAATAAATGTCTTTTTGGGAAGTCAATATGACCTTCTCATAAGATCTAGAATTCATTTGCCTTAGGCTTAGCACTGCAAAAAATTTCCCTTCACTGCTTTTAATGTTGTTATTTAAATGCTTAGAGCATGCCAGAGTATTTTAAAGAACAGCATTTGTGTTTGTTGATATAAAAGTAATACATTACATAGAACTGAAATATTAAGAGTAATTCTTGAGTTAGCATTCTTTTCACCATTCTTGTATTATTTCTTATAGCTCCTTAAGATAGCATGTCCTCTAATTTAAAAATAATGTTTATTATAAGATTTATCTGCTGCAGATGGTGGCTTATGCCTGTAAACCTTGCATTTTGGGAGGTTGAGGTGGGAGGATCACTTGAGTCCAGGAGCTTGAGGCTGCAGTGAGCCATGATCGTGCCACTGCATTCCAGTCTACCCAGACAGAGCGAAGCCCTGTCTCTTAACAACAACAAAAAAAGATTTATATGTAAGGAATATAACAAAATGGACTCTAGGAAAAAAAGTTTTTAGACTAGTACTAAAAGAGTCATGCTTCTGTTTGATAATATCGCTCACTGCTCTTGTGTTTCTCATGTTGGGTTAGCAATAATAGGCAGATTCACAATGGCAAAAAGGAAGAGGCCAGTCGAAACCTCTCCACGCCTCCCCTCCGCTGCAGCTCCAGAGGGCAAAGCATAACCTCTCATCACTCTTCTGGGCCATTGGTTAGTGGTCTTCTTTCCTGTTTCACCCTCTTCATGTGATTTCGATGTTGATCTCACCTAGAATGGGAGTGTTCAGCAGCAGTGATTGTAGCTTGCATGCTGTAATCACTGGCCCGTGTACAGTGGAATATCACATCCCAGGGTCTGGAAATGGCCTGAAGGGTGCCCTTGGGACCATAAAATAAATGCCCAGTCGTGTGTTCAAAGCACACTCTCTGGCCTTCCCTGCCGTCCACCTGCGCTGCTGGGTCAACCACACTGGGCAGAGAACCAATATGTAGGCCTTTGCTTCTTTCTGTTGTCATTCATTTAAGTCATCATATCTGCAGTGCCTTCCACCTGAAATGGATATCACCTCTGCTTTCCATTTTAAATCACACTTGTCTTTTTGGGAAGTCAATAAATCACCTTTTTTCTAGATTAACTTTGTTGAGCTCCATTCACTATAGTGTAAGTAGTGGCTTCTTCCTTCTTTGCTTACTTTCTTAGTAGCAAATCTCCCTTTGTCACAGTACAGTTGTCTCGGTTGAATGTCCACATTTACATATGTTTGTATCCATTCTGGGCCCCATTTTATAGAAGCTTAAGGAGAGTGAACACTGTATTGTCTCTCCCCTACATGCCATTTAGAAAATCAGTGACTGCTGTCAGTTATTGCCGACTGTCTGGAAATGGACGGTCAGCTGAGTCATCTATTGATTTTTGTTTCTTTCATTTGTGTAGGAGTTGTCAGCACAGGAAACTGTAGAAGATCTCAAAGGTAAACTGTTAATCATTTATATTTTATCACAGCACTATCCTCAGTGAAGTGAGAAATATTTTTATAAAACAGAATGCCAGTGGATTAATTGAAAATAAGAACTATACCTAAGACTGCATAGTTATATTTTGACTTTGTTTCTTTAACTCTTAATTTTAATTTTTTCTCATCGGTATTTGTATATCAAGTCTTAATTCAAATTGTGATATTTTGTTGATCATAATTCATTGTCATTTCTCCAGTCTATGCCTCATTTCATATGGCTTATAAAGAGCAGACATATAAGTTTTTTATTGATGATAAATTATCATCCATATAAAAATTTGTATTATAGCATATACATCAAAAAATGACAGGATAAATTGTACAGCATTCTGCATATCTGCCTTTCTTTCAAGTTACAGATTTTGTTTTGGGGGATCTTTCTTTTAACTTAAACAATTTTTGTTTTACATTTTTACTAACTTTTTTTTTTTTGTCTTTTGACTACCTGCAGAAGGCTTAGAAAAGATCTTTTGGAGGCCTGAATTAATTCCTTCCTTTCTCTGCAATTCTATTTTCTTTTCCACTACTACAAAGACAAATTTTGTGCACTATTTCAATTTTGAAAATAATGTAAAGTTTAATTCGCTCTAGAAAATAGCTGAAATTAGCACCATAGCCCTGAACCCCTAAAATGAAGTTTCTTTTTTCATCATTCAGTTGTATCCCATTATAACAATATGTAAAGGATTATCCATATTTTTTCTATATTATTGCTACTGAAATAAATTCACATGAGTTAGACTTCTAATATTTTAGTTGCACGTACAGCTTCATAACAACGTTACTTTATGTGTTTTATATACACATATACAAGCACATACCTTTTTCTTCATATGAAACATATTCTTCCAGATTAGGTGTGCTATAATAATCTTACATACTTTGAATATCTGGTCTGGCCTTTTAATTTCACCATTCCAATTAAAACAATAATTTTCTATTTTTTACTTGTACTAAGAATTGCAGTAGAAGTTTTACATACATTATTTCATTCTGAGTCATAGTATGTAAAATGTACAGGTAGCATTTAAACCCATACCTGGCTACTAAATCCAGTGTTTCTTAGCAACACTGCAGTAAAGCAAAGAATTCTGTTTTTTCCTTAGTCAAATCTTATAAAAGATACCATCCTAGTTGGTGGTGTTCTACAGTATTTTAGGGGATTTGGTTCCAGGACCCCCGTGGATAACAAAATCTGTGGATGTTGCTCACGTCTCTTATATAAAACAGCATAGTATTTGCTTGTAACCTACACACATCCTCCTGTATACTTTAAATTATCTCTAAATTATTTATAATACCTAATACAATGTAAATGCTATATATATAGTTGTTATACTGTATTGCTTTTCATTTGTTTTATTTTTATTGTTGTGTTTCAAGAATAATTTCACAGTGGGAGTGTTATTTTAAAAAATAAGTATCAATGCAGCCGTAAATAAGAATGAGTTCATGTTCTTTGCAGGGTCATGGATGAAGCTGGAAACCATCATTCTCAGCAAACTAACACAGGAACAGAAAACTAAACTCACTCATAAATGGGAGTTGAATAATGAGAACACATGGACACAGGGAGGGGAACATCACACACTGGGGCCTGTCAGAGGTGGGGGGCAAGGGGAGAGATAGCATTAGGACAAATACCTAATGCATGCAGGGCTGAAAACCTAGATGACGGGTTGACAGGTGCACCAAACCACCATGGTACATGTATACCCGTGTAACAAACCTGCATGTTCTGCACATGTAACCCAGAACTTAAAGTAAAATTAAAAAAGTATCTAATTCCATTAGTTGCTGGTGCTGTTTTAGTTTTGTTATTATTCATTAGGTCTTGCTCTTGGGCATTACTCATTCATTTCTGATGCTAATAAAGTTGCCATGTGTCATTTCAGGTGTCATTCTATTAGAAGACCATCCCATAGCACCAGTGTCATCTACCTCACCTGGTATCAAAGTGGAAAGCTTACCTGCGTCTCAAGCACACATGCTGGAAACCACGACCAAGTCAGTAATACCTGTAAAACCAGTTGCCACAGAAACTCTCATCAATGGTAAAGGAAAGGAAAGAGGAGGCAAGGGGCAGCCTCCTTTGCGCCACAGATCCGAGGGTGGCTTAGTGGATAAGGGACCCTTGAAGAAGTTGCCCCACCTGTCTTTGTCTCAGTATGACTTACTAGAAACAGACGTTTCTTTCCAGCCGTGGGGGAGTGAGAATTCAGTCCTGATTCCAGAACCTGTCAGTTGTCCCCGGGGCTCCATAAGGGAACGGGTACAAAGCAAGTCACCTCAGGACAGCCTGAGCAGCAGCTGCCCTCAATGTGACACCATCGTGGCCAAGCCTGTGGAGGAGCCAGCAGACACATCCTGTCAGGTAGATACCTCCTGCCAGGGGGACCTGCCCTTGCACCAGGAAGTGGACTCCTCAGATAGTGAGGTAGCTGTTACTCTCATCGATACTTCTCAACCCGGAGACCCACTGAGTCTACATGAGCCCATAAAAATTGTTATCACGATGAGCAGTACCCCAAACTCCATGACAGATTTGGAAAGCTCCCTCCACCTGAGGGTGGTTGGCACAGAGAAGACCAGTGTAAAGTCTGACGCTGAGCCCACTAACCCAGGGGCGGCCGGTTCTCCAAATGCCGAGCAGATCTCAATTCCTGTAATCACCCTGGACCTGCCTGAGGGTGGGGGAGGAGGTGTTCCCTGTCCCGAAGGCAATGGAAGTGAAAGGACTCCAGAGAGACTGAAGACGAGGGTATCCACCAATCAGTGTTCTGGCTACGGATCTGGGGAGGGGGGAAATGCCATCAAGGATCACAGTTCTTCATCACGGGAACCCTGGGAATCGGTGTCCCGGCTTACACCTGATACAGGCTCCGAGTCTAAGGTGGGGAAGGAAGGCCAGACTAACCTTGACCCATCGTCTTGTAAGTCCAGCCATGAAAAGAGGCATGCCCGGGTGCTCAGTGTGGACAGTGGGACAGATGTCTTCTTGAGTAAAAGTTCTGCAGAAATTGTTAACGATACAGAGAAAACAATGCCAACTTCCAAATCTGACCTAGAGGCTAAGGAAGGACAAATGCCAAATGAGTCCAACTTCCTGGAATTTGTCTCCCTGTTAGAATCCATTAATACTTCCAAGATGACGGCATCCAGTCAACTGAATGGCTCAGCTGAGCAGAATGAAGAAAGTGGGCTTCTCCGAGGTGCGATTCCATGTCATTTCCGTTCTGATGATGACATAGAAGGCAATACACCTTTTTGCCATTTGCCTTGTGTAATTTGATTTTGCAAATAGTGAGACAACTCTTGGGCAATCGTTTGTTGCTTGGCTTTCTCATCAATATTTGCTGAATGTACCGATACTAAGCTCTGTGATGAACATGTATACATATATTGTCCTACTCTACCAGGACACTTAAGGCATTGTCATAATTTTTTTGCTTCCCTATAGAAGGCAAGACTATTTACTCCCAGAGAAATAAGCAATTATATTTTACTACTGTGGCAAGTACTCGCAATAGATATTTCTTACTTTATGGAATAGATGCCTTCTGGGAAAGTTGATTCTAAGACAAATTTCTGTGAAGTGAATCTACTTTTCCTGCTGAGTTCTATTATAAAATACAGAATCCGCTAATTATCCCATGTTGTACACATAATAATAACAAACACTTCTGCCGCTCTTAATTTATGCCAGGCAGTGTTCTAAGCACTTTGCATGTATTAACGAGGGTGACTGTACCTTGTGGTTTGCCTGGAAGGGTTCTCATTTACACATGTTTTGCCAACATAATTATTAAGAGCACTGACTTTGTCTCTCAAAAGAGTCCCCAGTTTAGATGATAAATTATACAGTTACTCTCATATTAACTCACTTACTCCTTATATAACTTTACGTTATGGATATACCATCATCCTTCCTGTTCTTCGGATGAGTCTCAGAAATTTTCACTTGCTTTCCCAAGTATCTAGTAAGTTCAGGAGGTGCTGGAACTGAGATTTGATTCCAGGCAGTCTTGTTCCACAGTCCTTGCTCATAAAAATTAAATGATATTTCCTATATGAAGATAAGGTACATTTATTTTCAGGTTACTTAATGTCTCTGGGCCTCAGTTTCCTCATGGATAAAATGATGTTACTGGACTAGAGCTTTTATAAGGTCTTTTAGCTTTAAATTCTGTTACTGCTGTGATTTCTGAGCATATCATTTCTACATAGATCTGTATTGAGATAGCATCTGTATGGTAGGAATGCTGACTGAAAGTTGTGTTTGCATATGGTAGCTCATTTTCTGTGCTGTAGGTAGTAACGTTTCTTAGTGCTGGGATTTTTCCTCTGCTTTCTGGACAGCCAGGAGCTCCTCTGGCTCCATACTGGTTGCTCTGAGCAATTTTTTCTGATTCAGTTAAACTTTTTAACAGACAGGGCGGTATATAAAGCAGGAGTAACCTGAGATAAAAACTTTTGTATTTAAAGATTTGGGTGTTTATCATCTATCTAATATAAAGATTCATACCTCTAGGCTAGCACTGTCCAATAAAATTTTCTGCAGTGATAGAAATATTCCATATCTGCAGTCCAATATGGTAGCCAGTGGCCACAGGTAGCTATTTAATACTTTAAAAGGGGGTTGTGTAGATGAGAACTGGCATTTTTAATTTCATTAGATTTTAATTCATTTAAGTAGCCATGTGGCTATTGGCTACTGTATTAGCCAGTGATAACCCAGAGCGCATGAAGGCCTTCCCAGAAGCAGTGTGTCCAGTGGATAGAGCACTGACTTTGGAATCAGATAGCCCAAGGCCAGATTTTGGTTCAGTAATACCAGCTGGTTGAGCTTGGACAATTGATCAAATCCATCTGTGTTGGAGTTTCTTCTACAGAGCAGGAATCATAATATGTTGTAGATTTATTGTGAGGATTCAATTAGGAAAATATGTGAAAAATTTTGCTATTTGATCAATTTTAGTCTTTTATTTTTGTTTTCCCCTCAGGCTGTATGTAAAGTTTATTTGGTTTGCCTACTTGAGTTTTTGCTCTTCTTAATTTTTTCAGCCAGCCACATTCAATCAGAAGGGTTAAACTGGAAATTGAGGTTGTGTGCAGGGAGATATGAGGTATTCTATGGGAAGAGATAGGCTTAGTTATCAAGAACTTGAAGGTACAGCAGGAAGGGAGGAGTTGGAATAAATTACATGCTTCTTTTAGGAAAGGACAGAGGATTTTAATTGAAGAAAGAGACAGTGAATCTTTTAGCTCGTAGAAGGCCATCAACGTCAAAGGTGGCAAATTAGATGGTTTTTCAGTGATGCCATGTATCTTTGAGACTGGTAATATCCTTACTCTTCTTTCACTAAAGTATTTGTTATTATAATCTGAAAACCCAGTTTTTGAGTGTGTTTATAAAACAACATGTTGGGTGTTTAATGATATTAGCAGCTTAGGAAATGTTCTCTAATCTTTTTCCTGCTCATTAGTAGGACAGTGCTTGAACTTGGACCTGACTAGAAAAAGATACACAATTCTCCAGTTCTCTCTAATGTACTCTTATTTCCAGCCCAGGTTCTCTTCACAAAGCGCCTTAGGATTATTCTCAGGTCTCAGAAATATCCTAGAATTCAAGGCTATGGAAAACCACACACTTTTGAAAAGCCTTTAAACCATGTTTGTTTGCTTTTTTGTTTGACACAATTTTATTTTACTTTGTGGAAATAAATGAGGACCGCCCACATGAGAACAAGCAAAGTCTATTTATTCAGAGCTTGCTTATAGCAAGGGAGTCAGCGGTCATCGCTTGGGTTCAGCAGAGACTTAAAGGCAACTTGAATGAGAAAGCTTTATAGTGGAAAAAAAGGAAAGGCTTCGGATGTGCCCTGATTGGAGGTTATGGGCATTAGGAAGCTGGAGGTGGCTGGACTAGGAGTGAGTCATCCTATGTGCTTGGTTTGGTTTGGTTTTCTTTGGGTGGTCCTAAGTTGGAAGCAGGGACAGACATTAGGGAAGCTATCAGTTATGAATCAAGTCCTGGCCATTTCGGGCTAATTATTATGGGGGTTATTGTTTGGCTTCCTGGATTGTTTGCCAGAAATAGTGGTCTGACTTCCTACAAGCCTGACTTGTGCATAGTATATTGGCTTCCTGGGCTGGTTACTCTGGATAATGGGTTGATTTTCTCACCTGGTTGCTGCAGATTATTGGTCAGAGTTCTACGTTTATGAATAGTTTCTGCCTATTGTCCATTTGTATATTCAGTCTCCTAACTTCTAAGAATTTCTAGGGAAAGAATCATGAATGTATATAGAAATGCTTATTGAAAAATTGTCTATAATATGGAAAATTGAAACAATGTAAATTTATAGTCAGGGTCTATTTAAATTATACCATTATCAGTGTAATATTATATAACTACTATTTTTAGATGATGTAGATGAATATCCAATAACATTAAATATTTATAATAGTTTAAGATAAATATAGGTATAAAACCATACCTGCATTATGACTTCATTTTTGTAAAAAAAAAAAAAAGTGCGTATATCTAGGAAAAAGAGACTGGTGTGATATATATCAAATTGGCTCCAGTGGTAATATCATGATGGCAGGATTAAGAGTGATTCAAAGTTTTTTCTTTTGTATAGTTTTAAATTACATACAATGACTGTGTACTATTTTTATAAACAGAAACATTTCTATAAATGTATTTTTTAAGGAAAAAAGGAAAAAAACCGTCCATATGTTGACTTATGTAATGTACCCATTTAAGAGAAAAGGAGTCTAAGATATGATAAAGAGATGTGAACAAATGAATTCAAAGACACTTAGTGTAAAGCAGGAGAGCTGTGTCAATATGCCTTTCTGCGATTTTTTATGAGGCATGATTACTGGCTAAAGCTATTTGTTATGATAGCACTTTCTTATAAATGTGTTTCTGGAAAACTGTGAAAACTTCTATCTTGACAGGCTGTCACATGAAATGCAAACATTTTCATACCAAGGAAATTCTTATGGTAGTTTCACAGATGTGCTGAAAATGTTTATGTTCAGGACTCACAGAGAAGCCAGCATTGCTCCTCTAATTACTTGAAGTTTAAGGATGAATAACTTTGTTATATATGCAAGGATGTGATTTATATCCCACAGACACTAACACAGTTTTGCTTTCTGAGGGCTTAGGCAGATCTTGATAGACTTTTCGAATGGTGTGTCTTGAAAGAACTTGTAGGTTCAGGCTCAATTCTGTTCTCTCAGGCACAGGCTGTTGAGCTTAAGAGCCAATCATTTACTCAGAGTAAGTCATGGGAGTACAATGGTCCTTTTGATCTTAAAAGTGACTGTTGGAATGTGTCCACAGAAAAGGAAGGGCTGATCCTCAGGGACATATGCAGTCCATTTTGCATAATGGTATAACCTGAGACCCTTAGTGGTTTGTTGTTTAAAGAGGATTCAAAAAATGCAAAAAATAAAAACAATCAGTACCTATTGATCTTGGAATTCTCATTCATCTTAAAATGTTCTCAGGGCAAGGAATAGGTATTGTAGCTCTCTGTGTCCTACACAGTGCTAAGCATATTGTTCAAAATCAGCAGGCCGGGTGTGGTGGCTCATGCCTGTAATCCCAGTACTTCAGGAGGCTGAGGTGGGAGGATCACTTGAGGACAGGAGTTCAAGACCAGCCTGAACAACATAGCGTGCCCCTATACCTACATAAAATTTAAAAAATTAGCTGGATGTAGTGGCATGTGCCTGTCATCCCAGCTGCTTGGGAGGCAGAGATAGGAGAGTCACTTGTGCCCAAGAGGTTGAAGCTGCAGCGTGCTATGACTCCACCATTGCACTCCAGCCTCCAGCCTCCAGCCTTGGCAACAGGGCCAGACCCTGTCTCAAACAAACAAACAAACAAAAACAACCCCCGCCCCCAGCTATACTTAACAAGTATTTGCTTTATGAAGGGGACAATTCTAGCTTTAGCTTGAAAATTCAGTTTTGGAGAGTGAGAAGAAAGACTGATAAGATTTATAAATGGTAAAGGGGACCTTGTTCTGAAATAGCCAGATTTGTTTTTGTAATTTTTTAAAATCTGAAGTTATTCATTTATGAGATATGAACCTTTCAGACCTATGTAACCTAAATGGGTGATTTCCAGCTGGGCACATGTATGGTCACCGAGTTATTTCAAGGGAGTCCCTCAACCTGTATATAAAATAGTAGGTGTTTGTAGACACCTAAATAACATGTCTCAAACTTATACATACTTCTGTTTTTCACATATATGTAGGTACTTCCATAATTAAAAAAATGAAAAATTATTTAAAAGCCTTTTGCATGCAGAGGAGCTGCTTAGATTTTCTTTCTATTCTTGTTTCAGTTTTGGTAACTTATTTCCCAGAGTTTTCACATTGATTTATTTTATATTAAATTAACAAGTAAAGCAATGTTTTTCAGATAACTGTTCCCAGGAAAAAAAGGAGGAAATCCTGGAAAATGAAAAGCCCAGTGGACACAGTTCTAAGCAAGGAAAACCAGATTTGCAAAGTCAAGACCATACTAGCACCGGCCCCGCATGCACTCAGCCTGCCAAGACCACAGCCTTGTAAGGATAAGTTACTTAATTTAGTTTCACTTGGTCATAAAGCATGAGACAGCCTCATTTACTGGCTTCTGCTTTTAATGCTTTATCAAGGATAAGGAGGAACTTCTAATCATTTTTTTTGAAACTTTTATATGTGTTAAGTTTTCAGGGCAATAGACAAAGACAGATAATCTACAGGGTAACTTCCCAACAAGATAGTTCTGTCTTGCAAGTCATCAGTGGGCCTGAAACATCTGTACAAGAAGAGATATCTGTGGATGCTATGCATGTCTTCATTGATGAACATGGTGAGTCTTTGGAGCTCTTTACTAATGAACAAGCAGGGAAAACTGTCAGCTTTCTCAGGACTCAGTGTGATACCTTAGCATGAGTACTAGACTTGAGAACTGGAAGACTTAACCCTGTGGTTGCCCACATACTGTTCTTTGAATGGAGTGTGCTGCCTCCCATCTCGGGGCCTTTACACGTGCTGTGCCCCAGTGTGTGCTATTGATTTTTTCAGATCTTAGTCCTAAGGTAAGTTTTTCAGGGACACCTCTCCTGAACTCCCCAGACTTAATCAGTTTCATCAGTTTTTGTTGTTCTCTTAACACTCATCTCTTTCGTTCTTTGATAATATTACAGCTTGTATAATAATTTGATTAATGGCATTTCCCCCTCACAGTTATCAACTTCAAGAGGGCAATGCCCAGTACTTACTAAATATTTGTTGGACCTGTGTTGCACACCTGACCTTGATATATTTTTTCAGCACCTTGTTATAAAAAGGATTTAAAATAGTATACATAGAGAATTATAAAGTGGCAAGTTCAAAGTTCAACGGATAAGGGATATAGGTCCTAGTTTTTCTGGGATGGGTCTTGGCTTATGTATCATATAGCTCCAGTAGTGCTCGTTATTTTACTCGCAAAAGGATCCTGGTTTGGAGAATAAATTATATGGTTACTTTATCTGGAGTTCAGTAGTTTATAGTTTTAAATGCTTTTGCATGTGCAGAAATATAAGGGACTTTTACATCATAAAGAACAACATTAGCACTTACATGAAAGCCTCCACAGGGGCTGCGGTTGTCATTACAGTTTCTCTTGGTGGAAAACACCTTTGAGTTGGAGGGCCACCTTCCAGCTGCTCACAACAGACAAGGTTAATTATGCTTCCTGTGTCAACTGAAGAAGGCACTAGTAGGAGCTCTTCTGGGCAGAAACCGGATTTTCACACCTCAGTATCCTGAACTGCTTTAGTGGAGCTAATTGAGCTCTGCAAATTAATTCCATCTCTTGCTTTTCCTCATTAACAGACTGACACATCAGTCAGTGTGCTGTGACACTTGCTCATCTGCACAGTTGGAGGCAGAGATGGTCTCATGCGGTCCACCAATCAAAACTGTACTCTTAATAAGCTGCTTTTTGCACATGATACTGAGGTATTCGTATACCAAAAAATCTGGTTATATCCTAGCACAGATCATGCTGACACATGAAGAGAACGTATGTAAAGTGAATTAAGAGATGATACAAATAAGTCTATCAAAAGCAATTAAATAATAAGTAACCAAGTCAAAACTTGTCTAAGTATATTAGCAGGGAAGCAGGTCGAAGAAAATTTTCTTAGTAAAGTTTCTTTCAGACATCCTTCAACTTCTCATGATATATGTTCTGTGCAGAAATATAAAGAATGGACCCCGATTGTCAACAGTTATTATAACAGACCAAAATAAGTTTCCTTTTAACTTGAAAATTGTATAAGTTGAAACGATTCTATATGAATAATTATGTCATATTCTTTGCTGAAATTTTCTGATTTTACAGGGGAAATTAGATCCTGTTATTTAAAATCTGGAAATCAGAAAGAAGGCCCTTTACAGCCTCTACCATCAAATAATGACTGTCTCTCTCAGGCTCGGTGAGTGGAGCTTTGTTTCCAGGCTTGAGAGCTGTTGCATTGCTGGGAGACACAGCGATGAAGATAAAGTGAGGATTCTGGTTTAGAAGAAATGTGTTAATCCCTTTGTAGTTGTTAAGGCATGTGGTTTTGTATGAAAGAAAAAGGAAATCTGACATTGTGAAATAATGAAAAATAAATGAAACCATTTTCATTGTTGCTGCTTCCAAAAATGAAGATAACATGTAGGTAGTATAAATAGACAGGAACTCTGTATAAACATAATAATGTTCTCTTCAAGAAAGATGGTGATACAGCTCTCAAACACATTATTAAATTTGTCCCAAGGAGTGGACTAGAAATGTGGTTAGTTCTCATTTATTCTCATTTACAGTAATAAAGGCAAACTGTTTTACAGATAGATACACATCTTTTCTATTTTACTTCAGAATGCTTTGAATAACTTTCTTAATTATGCTGATATTAATTAGTTGATGAAGTTGATATTAAATTAGTTTGCATATCTGGGACATACGATGATTAATAGTGCGTTGGGAAAACTGTACGTCTTGTCAGTGGCAGACGGAATTCATCCTTCATCCTGGGCTTCAAGATTCTTTGTGGATAATCCATATGGCCATGTCTCAGTTGGTTGCTCTAAGTGTGGAAGTAAATTGTTCATGTATGCTTCTTTAGAATTATATGTATATTTGAGGATTTATGGGAGACTTTCCCGGTGTAACTGGAATGTCTTGTGCTTCACATCTAAACCTTAATTTCAGAGTCTGTGACCCCATGTGTCTTTCCAAGTTTAAAGTGTTCCCAAGGGTTTATGGGAAATTCAGGGGGAGGGGTCCTGTGTGCTTAGAGTAAAGGCTGTCTTTGTCCTTGCATTCTGGCCTCCAGGTGGAATGCTGTCGTGTACCAGCTTCTTAGGGCATTCTCTCTTTAAAGCCACTACTGTTTCTTACCTGCTTAGGAATGCTAGTGCCATTCAGGTAGGTCTGATGGGAACCGTAGGTGATGGCTCTCTCCCGCCATGCAGTCCTTCCCAAGCTTTGCATTAAAGCAGACTGCATGTGCCCAAAGTCACTCCTGTGGGGAAACAGAAATCTTGTTCATGCCCCACTTGCCGTCCACTCTTCCTCCTTTTCCCTCAGGTACCATGGACCAATCCAAACATCACAAACTTCTTCTTCTCCAGCCAACAGGCATGCAAAGTCCCCATGCAAATGGACACCCAAGAGGAGAGGGAGGTTTGCTGTCCACATCTTTACTCTAACCTCCAGGACATTCTAGACGTTATGATGGTTTGATGAGTTTAGTCATCTAAGATGGCAGCTTTCTCAGACAAAATATGTAATTGCATGAGAACGCAGCTTTGAAAACTGTCATATTATTCTGCAATTCCCAGCTAAAAGTTGAAGTTTTTCTAAGCTGAATTTAGAACAAATTCTTCTTTTATCCCAAAGTAAAGTTACAAGATTTTTGTTTTTAATTTTTTCCCCCCAGGATAAATATATGTCATTTTTCCCCTAGGTTAAACACTTGAACTGCATTTGTCAGTAATGGTAGTTAGAATAAGGCCATATATGCAGAGCCTTAAAGAACTGAAAATTTATAGTATCCAAGTAAAAATGAGAGAGAGGACCTATAGTGTTTTCATTAAGCCTCAGTTCCTTAGGCTCTGCCTCTTCTAGCATGACCTGTTAACTTGCTTTCTCCCCGTAAATTTCTCTCTATTAAACTTCCTCCAGCTTCTGCTTTCTTTCATTTCCTCTGCATTTCCTTTCCAGATTACAGCTCTTTTATATTTAACCTGCCTTCCATTTCCACAGCTGCCTGGACATAGGTTTGCCACAGTGCATTCAGCCTTGGTGAAACGGCTTTTGGTGAGGTTGTGTTGGGGTGCTGCGCGGGTGATGGACTGAGAGGCAACTGAATGTGTTGATGCTGAACTTTCTTGTGAGGCGTGTGGCTTGGTGGAGAGTCTCAGAATACCAGGCCCTTTCTTACGTGCCTTTTCAAGTCCACAGAATAGTCAGACCCCTTTCTATTACAGAGGAAGGAAACCCATCTCAAACAGGTTTAAGCAAAGTGGGGATTTTGCGGTGATGTAACTGAACAGTCTTGGGTCCATCTGTCTTCAGGAGTGTCTAGATAAAGAGGTTCAGATTGAGTCATTGGGGCCTAGTTTTGCCATTTCCATCGCTCTCCTGCTCCTCTGTTTTGACACCGTTCTCAAACACCTCACCCCGGCGGTCAAAAGACGGCTGTCGTTACCCTAGATCTCGTGTCTTCTCTCATCTAAGTCCAGCAAGAACAGTATGCTTCTTTCTCATAGATCCCATGGAAGGTCTCATTGTGTCTGATTGGTTCTGACTGAGCCATATTACCTGAGCCCAATCACTAAGACCAGGCAAGCACTTGGCCTGGGCTTACGTACACACACACAGCTGGATTCGAGGTTCCCCCGAGACTGGAAGGGGCTGGCTCTCCGAGGGATGTTTGGAGTTCTGTAGATAAAAGCCGGGCAGCAAAAATCAACAGGTGACCCCGAGGACTCTGTTTCTGGTGAAAAGGCAACTGAATTAATTACTGAGCTCCTGTAAAGAGAAAAATGTTCAAGTTTTTTGCAAGCAACTTTCCCCTTGAAGAAAATCTTTATTGAATGGCCCTAGTCACCCCTAGCTTTTCTCATGTGTGAATGCTCCAATGGGCAAGGTCTTGGTCCACCAGTCTCAGATAGCAACTTCTGGGTCTTTGACTATCTGCTCTTTCTCCAGCATTATTTGACAGGGTGTTGGTCTTAAGAGTTCTAGAAAAGGGCTGGGCATGGTGGCTCACACCTGCAATCTCAGCACTTTTTTTTTTTTTTTTTTGAGACGGAGTTTTGCTCTTTCACCTAGGCTGGAGTACAGTGATGCAATCTTGGCTCACTGCAACCTCTGCCTTCCAGGTTCAAGTGATTCTCCTGCCTCAACCTTCCCAGTAGCTGGGATTACAGGTGCCCGCCCCCACGCCTGGCTAATTTTTGTATTTTTAGTAGAGACAGGGTTTCACCATGTTGGCCAGGCTGGTCTCAAAACTCCTGACCTCGTGATCCGCCAGCCTTGGCCTCCCAAAGTGTTGGGATTACAGGCGTGAGCCACCACACCTGGCAATCTCAGCACTTTTGAAGGCTGAGGTGGGAAGATCACTTGAGTCTCGGGGTTTGAGACCAGCCTGGGCAACATGGCAAGACTCCATCTCTACAAAAAACAAAACAAAACATAGCAAAAACACCAAAAAACAAGAAGAGTTCTAGAAAAGAAAGACACATTGCCATGTGTAACTTCTCTTTCTTGTGCTTCAAAGATAAAGTGAAATAATACACATGGTTTGCTATCATATGTATAGTTAGTCCTTAAGATAGAAAATAGAGGGGACTTTGTTATGTGGTGTTGTGGCATTCAGCAGCCCATTTGGTCACAGGACATATACAGTGCTTCCTGTCAGATGCATGAGCACAAAACTCCAGTCCCTTCACTTAGCAAAATTACAGCATTGAAGCTGTTCCCTAGGCAGCTCTGGAAAAGCAGTTAAGGCACTACCATCTGTTTAATTCGTGCTCAGGAAAAACGAGTCAGTCCTATGTCCGTCAGACGATCTTCTGGATTTAAACTGCTGTCTGACAGGCTTAGGGTGGATATTCCGATTGTCTCAAACATCTCCCCAGAGTCTGACACATGGAAAACTGTGCTACCCATTCATGGGGGGCTAAGTTCTTTGGATTTGTAATAAGCTTTGTCTTTTGCAGAAGCCCATGATGTAATGATGATTTGGGAATCTTTGGGTTGGCTATCTGAAAGGAAAATTCTCAGAAAGCAGAATAAGAACCAGCTATCAGGCTCAATTTAGATTTTTGAATTTCTGAATTAACATACTAGTGCATGTGTGCACTCGTGTGAGTTCATGTGCACCTGGGGGTGTCATCGCTGTATCTCTAATGGTAAAGGTAAAGAATGGAACCAGAGCAGAGCCAGTGAAATGCCAGCAGGTCAGGATTTTGCCCCATGGAAGGACCAAGTAGCTTGTACCTTACCCCTGTGTTCCCATGTGCAATATTATGGCAGTTCGTGGCCCTGAACGAGGCACTTTCCTTCAGTAGTTCGGGTAGTAACAGCCACCATTTGTTAAACACTTACACACTAAGCTAAATGTTAAATTATCTAATTTTTCTGTGCAACAAAACTAAGGCTGGTGACACTAGCTCTGTTTTACAGATAAGGAAACTAAGACTGATTGCCAAAAGTGCTCAGCTTCATGTAGATACTAAGTGGCCAGTGGACAGGTGAGTCTCCCTCCCTGCTCCCATCCCCCACCATGGCGTCACAAGCTCAGGGTTCCTCAGAGCCCAGGCAGATGTGATAAATAGGTGAAGCTGGCCCAGTGTGGAATGGTAGAGAGGAGTGGTGATGACTGCAGTAAATCAGAGGGCATTCATCCCATCTGAAGGGCATTTATCCCATCTGAAGGGCATTTATCCCATCTGAAGGGCATTCATCCCATCTGAAGGGCATTTATCCCATCTGAAGGGCATTTATCCCATCTGAAGGGCATTTATCCCATCTGAAGGGCATTCATCCCATCTGAAGGGCATTCATCCCATCTGAAGGACATTTATCCTATCTGAAGGGCTGCTGCTATGTTAGTCTACTTATGATGGCTCATAAGTCCCAGGTGATAGGATTTTCCGTTTTTTTCCACAGGGAGCTAGAAATGCATATTTGTATCTAAAAGTGTATTTTGTTTCATGTTGTTGATTTTAAGTTTCTTTTGTTTGTTTGTTTGTTTTGTTTTTTGAGATAGAGTCTCCGTCTGTCACCCAGTCTGGAGTGCAGTGGCGCGATCTGGGCTCACTGCAACCTCTGCCTCCTGGGTTCAAGTGATTCTCCTGCCTCAGCCTCCTGAATAGCTGGGATTACAGGCGCGCGCCACCACAGCCGGGCTAATTTTTTTGTATTTTTAGTAGAGACGGGGATTCAACATGTTAGCCAGGATGGTCTCAATCTCCTCACCTCGTGATCCGCCTGCCTTGGCCTCTCAAAGTGCTGGATTGCAGGCGTGAGTCACCACGCCCAGCCGATTTAAATTTTTTTTAACAACACCACAGACCACAGGTTGTGCGTGGTTGGCTGTGGCCTGTGAGCTACCTGTGGTCAGCCTCTGCCCTGCCCCCTCCAGTGGGAAAGCAGCCTCTGCCCTCCTCCCTCAGCCCTTCTTGCACACATGTGCGGCATCCAGATGCCCCTAGGTGATTCCCTGCAGGCTCCTCCAAACCACCTTGCCAAGTTCTCCACTCATTGCTCCCTTTTGAAACTCTCATCTTTGAAAGCTCAAGTTACAATCTGCCTCTGTTATGCTTCTTTTCCTTCTCAGTCCTCTCTGAAATTCATCTCTTCAAGTTGCTGCCAGGAGGATGCTGATCACAGTCTCCCTGGTATCTCATTTATTTGTAGAGGGTTCTCATCTCTTTTTCTAGATTGCATACATCTAAAACCAGCCTTTGCTTAGCCCTTTATAGGTAGGTGCTCAATAAATGTGGGATTAAATCAAATGAATCATTGGAAATGACAAAGATGGCCCAGTTGGAGTTCTGGGGTGAGGGACAGCAGGAGAAGCTAAACAGGAGGGGTGGAGTAGGGCCCTGGGGCCCATGAAACCCGGTGGAGGAGTGTGGTTTGTTCTTTATGCAGCAGGAGTGATGGGAATCTATTTGCAGAGCAAAACAACCCTGATGAATGTGGGATTATCAAAACGACCTCAACAAATAAATCCCTCATCTTTGGTGGGACGGTTGGAGGGAGAGCCAGAAGCACTAGCAGTTTGCCAGATCAATGCATTTGAACACAGAATGTGATCTTCTCCTTTTATAAGTGGGAAGGTACAGCAAAATGAAACATGTAAAATGAGCCTTTTAAAACCAATCTACATAGAAATCAGAGGTGGAGACTCAAATTAAATTTTCCAGTCCTGAGTTTTTATTATTTTTATTTTTAATTTTTTTGAGACAGGGTCTTGCTCTGTGGCCTAGGCTGGAGTGCATTGATGTGATCTCGGCTCACCACAACTTCTGCCTCCTGGGTTCAACAATTCTCCTGCCTCATCCTCTCAAGTAGCTGGGATTATAGGCATGCACCACCACACCTGGCTAATTTTTTGTATTTTTGCTAGAGACGGGGTTTTGTCATGTTGGCTAGGCTGGTCTCGAACTCGTGGCCTCAAAGTGATTTGCCCTCCTCACCTTCCCAAAGTTCTGGGATTATAGGCATGAGTCACCGCACCCAGTCCAGCCCTGTGTTTTATTAGTTCATAAGGAAACAATTTTCCCTGTCTGTATGAAAGCTAACAACAGAGGAAAATCTGACACTGAGAATTTTACTTCCTTGAAATCAGAGGTTTAGTATCTAGCTATGTGAACACAAGTTTTGTCTCGGACTTATCTGGGTTCAAATTCCAGCACTGATATTTACTTTTTGTTTGACGTTATGCAACTTGCTTAACCATCTTAAGTATCCATTTTCTAACCAAAAAATGCAGATAATACTTCTGTAATTAATTCACTGGTTTGCTTTAAAAATTAAATGTGGGCCTGGTGTGGTGGCTCATGCCTGTAATCCCAGCACTTTGGGAGGCCATGGCGGGCGGATCACAAGGTCAGGAGTTCAAGACCAGCCTGATCAACATAGTGAAACCCCGTCTCTACTAAAAATAAAAAATTAGCTGGGCATGGTGGCACATGCCTGTAGTCCCAGCTGCTTGGGAGGCTGAGGCAGGAGAATAGCTTGAACCTGGGAGGCGGAGGTTGTGGTGAGCCGAGATCACGTCACTGCACTCCAGCCAGGGCAACAGAGCAAGACTCAGTCTCAAAAAAAAATAAAAAATAAAAAATAAAGGTGATAGTACACATGCAGTGCTTAGGACAGTGCCTGCCATAGAGGGTCCTCAGTCAGTGTTAGCTGTTGTTACTGTCTTTGGATAGAAGCAGGACTTCAGGTAAACTGCACTGTGACTTGATATACCAAAAGATGTTGACTTTTGTTTCTTGATTTTTATAACAAAATATCTGATTTTATATAACAAAAGAGACTTTTGGCCAGATGGAAGCCTTTCCTCTAGTGCTTTTATGAGTTGATTTATGTGATTTTAAGGCATTCCCCTTAAATACCTGTTGTATTCCAACATCTTGGCATGTATGATAATTTTAGAGTAGGTCCTTTAATATTATGTCCTTGGCTTTTAATGCAATTAGATTTTAAGTTTTCTATTACAGTAAACAAACATAAACTTTGATTTTGAACTTGGAAGGATGCCTACTTGGGGCTGTAAGCCATTCAGCCATGGAAGATATATTGGAAAAGCAGCCTTTTCCCCATAAGGTGACTTCAGTGGCTGGGACTGTCTCCAACTGGGCCATTAAACGGCTGATTCTTATTATTGGCAAAAAAGCCATTCCTCTTAGCTATTGTTGAGCCTTGTTACCGTGTGACAGTTTTATATCCCTGACTCCCAAGTATGAATAGGGAATTGTTAGTAATGTAACTTCCATGTCTCTTTGGGGATTCCTGAAGGAAACTGGGAGAGGAAACAAATTTCTCTCCTTGGCCCCACTGTCACTGTGGGAACCAGTGCGGTTCTTGTGGACTGCTGCAGAAACATAAGCAGCATTTTCCGGTTGTACAATAGCTGTCCATAGAGCAGGTATCTTTGGTAACATTACCTAACACAGTTCTGCTTTCCCCAGAAACCAGAATGAGGAAACTACAGCTTGAATTGCAGCCTTTAGAATTGCTAGTAGGAAAAACTGCCAGAGGATAAATCCACTTGAGTATTTTATTACCCAGAACACAAGATTGATTCAGTAGTTCAGAGCCAAAATGAACTAATTTGCCCAGAAAGTTGGAATTGCTAATCTGCCTAGAAAACCAAAGTGGAAGTAGGCTATCTGCCTAGGAAGTTGGAGGTGAAGCTGCTTAGAAAGTTGAAATGTGTTTTTGAGTGCAGAGGGTTTGTTGCAGAGTGAAGTTTTATTACTACTCAGTAGATCTTGTAATTAAAGCTTGATAGTTTCTCTTTTTTGTTCAGCAAATATTTATATTTCTTTGTGTATAAATGAATCCAAGTAATATAGCAGAGCTTTCTTCTATGGACAATCTATAACCATGTTTAAGTATTAATCTGGCTTTTACGGTGTCATAAGCAATCTAATGGAAATGCATGCAAAATGCATATCATCTGCTCCCCAGTGAAATCTGATTGGAAAGACATGATATTTACATTCATTTTGAGGATCTATAACTCACAAAATAGGCATGGTAGTCTACTGAATGGAAGAGTCATTCTGTAGCAAATTTGTTTGCAGTACTTTTTTGGGGGATTTTTATATCAAGGATGGAACTTCAACTTGTTTTTATTTAAAAAATAAGAGTAGGATGGTAATATAAATATTTATCTGAATTCACTTATTCATGGCTTTTGTTTTTGAATTATCGTAGCAAAGATCTAGCAGATATTTTTAGTTTATAAATTAGGCTTATGTTTGAAAGCTGCCGTATATCTCTGAACCCACTGTGTACCATACTCCAAAGGTGGATTGAAGCCCTGTACTTAATCTTTACTACCTCCTCAGAGTTCTTACTCTTTTGTTGACATTATCAGCTTCTCTGACCCTTATCTCAACAAAACCTCTTACTTATTGGGATTAACTTTCAGGAAAGTCCTCTAAAGCCACAATGTTTAATTATCTACCTGGTTCCCAAAGAAGATAAGCAGGCAGAAAACGGCAATAAATAATCATGTCTGTTTAGACTGTGTTTTTAACTTTAGTCAGAAGAAATAATAGTGACACTCTGACTTGGAATAGCTGAACAGGAATGTGAGGCAATAAAACAAGTCAACTAGATATTCAAAATGAAGAGTAAAACATTGTGACTTCTCTCGATATTAGATATACCCAGTACCATGTGCCATTCAATTATAGTTTAGAAATTTCGTCTTTTATTACAAATATTTGAGAGATGCATATAGCTGCGTCACTCACTTAATTTGGATAGTAGAGAGATAGGTATTTGCTGCTTCAAATTTGAAAAACTTGTGTGGGTTCTTGGTGCCTTTGATCACATGGAGGTGGAAAAGATTGGCAAGAAGCAGATGATCACCTGGGTCTACCTTGGAATAGTGTCTGCCCTCCCAAATTTCCATGTCCTTTCTTTTTGGCTTTCACTTTTTACTCTTTGCTCCTTTCACTGTCATTCTTATCTTGTTTTCTTAGACGTATTAGAAAGAGATTGTACTTTCACCCAGGCATAGAGGCATAAGGACGAAAGGTTTGTGAGGTTGATTCTAGAAAGACTTTTGTTCTCTGGGGCATTTTCTCTGAAAGCCTGAGAATTGGCCCTGCCGCTCAGTGTGGTTCTGTTCCGGTGGCAACAGCCACTGCTGCCACATGATGGCAGTCAGGTCCCATGCTCCCAGCCTTGCCTCACTTCCACGGTGTTGCTGCCTTTTTCTCCGATACTCACACAAATTTTACTGTCACATAAAAGGAGAATTGAACAAGAATCCCTGTTAAAATTCAAAATAACAGGTTATGGTTTTCAGAACAGTGCTGCTTTAGTTAAACATCCTACATGTTGAACATGTTGCTGGGACTTTCATTTCTGTGTCCCTCTATGCGCCTTGTGCCCATGTCCCTGGAGGAAGCCTGAAAAACAAGGAAAGAGGCAGAAAAAGGGAGGCCCTCTCTCTGAGAGTGATAGGCTATCGTCTTTAAACTCTGGGGAAGATGAAGAATTTCAAGAAATGTTTTTCCAATATCAGTGAGACAGTGTAGAAGAAGCACATGTATTTTGACTGTCTGTTGCTTGTAGAAGCTCAGATGGTGGAAACCTGGTGAGTCCAGTATGGTGGAATATCGTCATGGTCAATTTGAGGCCCAACTCCTTCCATACAGAAGTGCACTCTTCTGGCCCAGACTAGATCCTAGCCCCAGGCCCGTCTTTATTACCTTCTAGTGGCAGCACTTTTAGAAATTTCCACCATTAATCACTATTTCTGCTATTGCTTGGAGCTCAATCTAGCTTAAATAAACTTATCTCTGCTATAGCCCTGAACCAAACTAGTTTACCAAAGATTCACCAGAGAACGGGATAATTGAGACCAGATGTGCTAAGTATCGTGTACTGTAGTTCACAGAATAGTTACTACAGGCTTGGGATATTTCCATTTCCATTATTGTTTTGGAGGAAGAGAAAATGTCTCTTGAAACTTAACGCTTTCACTTTATATGTATTAATGTGGGAAACGCTTTGGCTTTAAGTTACTAAGATACTGTCTTTTTAGATGATTATGCTGCTCACAGTCTATAACTTAAAAAAAATGAGAGAGAATAAGCAGCAAATACTTGGAGAAGAGACGCTAGCAAAGAACATAGACTTTGGAATTATTCAAAGATTGCGCTCCTGTCCACCTGTCCGTTTCAGTGATTTTTGTGGACATCATCGTCTCTTTGGTACTTGGGTGGGCAAGCTGGATTATAACTACACTATCAGGACACCAGAGAATTATATCACATAAGGGAAACGTCTCCATTTGAGCAATGCTTACTGTAAGCATGTAACCATTTCCTCCTGGCCAAATGGAGAGCCCATATACACATGACAATACAGATGACAATACAGGTTTCTGATGCAGACATATACCAGTCATTAAGCTCAGAAGAGAATCTTTCTTATATGCCCATGCCTTGTCTGGAATACTCAACCCTCATAAAAGAGGTTAATTAAGAGGGAAGTTAATATGCTGTTTGAGACTGTCTTTATAAAATAAGGAGGATTAGGTGTGATTTGAGGGCAAGATACTCTTCCCCCATGCCTGCTAACAGAGACACCTGAAATTAATATACCATTTGCATAAAAGCATAGGAGTTATGTTGCTATTTAATATAAGAAAAAGCAAAGTCAATCCTATATCAACAAAAGGAAGTAAAAAGGGCCAGGGATGGTTATGAAGTACATAATATATGAAAGGCAGTGTTCACTGCTTTACATACATAGTCTGGTTTAGTTTTCACAATGATACCTACGAGGAAAATATCTTCCTGATTTAATAGGGAGGATTTAAGGTAGGAAGACAACATGCTTATAGTCACAGATAGTGAGTAGTATACTTTAACCTAGTTCTGTTTAATTCTAGAACTGACCCAAAAGATCTTAAATAGAAAATCAACCCATAGATTTTTTAAAGGATATTTAAATGGCTTATATAGGAAAATGATGTTTATTATTATTATTATTTTACAATCTGAAATGTACTAAGAAATATGGAAAAATTAAGCTGATATGTATTGATTGACACTTCCTTTGTATCATGTTTCCTAGCAGGACACCTTAGTAGGAGGAAGACTGCTCTAAAACAGCCATTCGTTACACATTATGTCGTAGTCAATTCTTAGTTTATTTCAGTTGGCGATAGAGGGTGCTGTACACCTTCTACTTTTTTGCACAGAAGCGTACATTTCTTTTCCCACTCTTGCCTATTTATGATCATTACCTACCTTACCTACAATGTAGTTAGCTTAATCTTTTGTTTGTAGTGAAGTTCTGGCATGTGCTCCGTTTAAGATATCTCTGAATTTGTGTCAACATTGCAATTTCAGTTCTGTTGTATTTCGATGTGAAATGACAGAGTTACATTACTCAGTGGCTTCCGTACAACGCAGAAGAGTTTGAATGAACATTGTTTTTATAAATCTAACTAATCTTTTTCTCTGTTAACGACAGAGATTATGCCACTAATATAGACAAGAAGGAAAAGCATTATTTTAGGAGCAAACATTAAATAATGGAAGCACAGGATTTTTAAGTTTTCAAACTCTACGTACTTACTCTACCTGGTTCACGTCCTAAACCCTGACTTCATCATGTTATGTTTCCTAAGCGGTTCTTTATATGAAGACTTTATTGAATGTATTGAAGTTTATGTTTATTTACATGTGTGTATGAAAGTTGCTTTTTTTTTTTTTTTGAGACAGGATCTTACTCTGTTCACATAGGCTGTAGTGCAGTGGCATGATGATGGCTTACTGCAGCCTAGACCTCCCAGGCTCAAGTGGTCCTCCCACCTCAGCCTCCCAAGTAGCTGGGACTACAGGCATGTGCCACCATGCCCAGCTAATTTTTTTTCTATTTTTGTAGCGCTTAGGTCTCACTGTGTTGCCAGGGCTGGTCTTGAACTCCTGGGCTCAAGCAGTCCTCCTGCCTCCCCCTCTCAAAGTGTTGGGATTACAGGCATCAGCTACTGCGCCCAGCTGTATGACAGTATTTTAAACACCATTCTCACAGAATAACTATTGGTGTGTTTATGAATATGATAGGAAGGAGTTAGGAAAAAGAAACATCCAAAAGATTGTCAGAAACTTTATCATGAAAGGTGTAGATTATAAATCAGAAGGGAATTTTGTTACTGTAGCATCTGCATTCTTAAGGAGCCTGTGTTAGACAGTGTGATTTGGGCTACAAGTAACCTTCTGTAATAAAATGGGCTGCACGATGAGATGTATTATGCCAGAACACAAGAGGCCCAAAGGTATGATCTGTTCAAGGTTGGTGAATTCGGAGGTTTAATGCTGTCATCAAAAAACTAGTTCCCTTCCATCACTCAGCTCTCCAGTACTCAAGTTTGTCCATCACGATAGCAGTATTTATTATTCACGAATCATGTAAAGGCCTGGAGAAAGACTGTCTTTTACTTTTGTTACTACTTAAGAACTATAGAAAAATTTGTCCGAGAGCTCTCTTAATCCCAGCCAACTCTTCTTTGCTCCCCAGTGACCTCTTAGAGTTGTGTTTCTTTCTCATTCCAAAGCCAAGCTCTGGCCAGGGTGAATGGCTTAAAGACCAGGATTTTTCCCTGGGGCTAGGGAAGGACCTCATGTCTCTTCCAAAGCAACAGTCTTGGATGACTTAATAAAATGGAGTTATGTTAGGAGACATTCTGTGAGAAATGCCTGTTGAGTAGGCAGCCAACATTGTCTCCTAAAAGTTATAGATACCCTACTAGAAAATCAGATAGAGAAGTATGTCCTAGTTTTTGCTTTCTGAGGCAAAGGAAAAAAATGCCAGGATTTTTTCCTTTGTAAAAATGAGATTGCTTACTATTAATTTAAGTCTTGTCAATCTGTGTGTGGTTAAAGATAAAACTATTTTAGATATAGATCACAACTAATTCCATCATGTCCTCTTGATCAATTACCCAAGACATTTCTTTTGTCTAATAAGTACTTACCTTGCTTTGGGGTGTGGTGGAGAGGAGATGCAGCTAGGTAGCAGAGGTGTTCATCTCTGTTTCTTCCTGGTTGGTGTCTGGAGAATTATCAAGCCCACTATTTGTTTTTACAAAATATGAGGCTAGAACTTGTTGCTAAGGCCTCCCCAGGCATTAAATATTTAAAAAAATTAAGGTTGTCATCTGTAGAACACCAGGCATCTACCTACCTGCCCTATGACACACTGCAACCCTGGGTAGCCTGAGTAATTTCAATGTATGCAGGGTAATTGACCTTCTACCTGAAGGTAGCCTTGTATACATAATTTTAAACTCTTAACTGTTTATGTAAGGTTGTAAAGTCTCATCCACTACCTGCTTTGGGCATTCCTATTGTCCTTGTGTTTGTGTATAATAAATAGATGACTTCTGGTATTACCAGGTAACCAAAGCTTTTGTTTTGCCCATCCTCAGAGAGATGCAGGTCAGCTCCTCCAGTACCACAACTTCTGAGAGTCAAGATCCGTCTTCTGGGGACCCTGCCGTCAGTGCCCTTCAGCAACAGCTGTTACTGATGGTGGCTCGCAGGACCCAGTCGGAAACCCCACGGGTACGTACATTCCAGAATTGCTGTTTGTGGATGTTCTGGAAACAGGGGATCTTAAAACCTTTTTCCAGGTTGGATTACTTGACAGGATTAGTCAGCTCTTTCCCTGAATTTTGCATCACGGGTTGTTGATATATCACTGCAAGGCAGTCTACTGACTGAATGTGAAAGGAAATCAGATAGATAGCAGCTAACCTTGGGTTGATATTAACAGGATTGCCACTGTCTCTGTTGCTTTTCAAATGCATTAGAAATTCATGCACATTGATTTTTGGTTGCCAGGATGCATAAGTCTCACAAGAGCTCACTGGATTAGGTTGCCTTTTTCTCCCATGGTTTGGAAAGTATCTTTTTTTTTTTAATGTATTATTGCCTTGTATATTAAATATTCAAAGATTCTTAAATGTTTGACATAAAGGGAGACTTTATTCTTGGGGCAAGTAACATTATCATCAAGAGGTCTAAAAATGTGAAGCCTTTCATTATTTTACTAAGAGATAACTTATTAATGTTCATTCATTTATCCAGTCGACCTTTAATGAGACTCTTGGGAGGCAGAGCCAAGGATTCAAAGCCAGAGATAACATGGGAGGTTAGTGAAACACGCAGACATGAAGTTAGAGCTGCAGATTCAATTTTGGGCATTTTGGAGGAGGGGTAATGGGGAAGGCTTCTTAGAAGAAGAAATACTTCGGTTAGGCCCTGAAGAAAGATTGGTTTCCATTGGTACAGATGGAGAGAAGAGGATTGTAGATGGTATGATGTCATGTGAGTGTCAAGTTTCTTTATTTCTGTTTACCTTTTTCCTGGAAATGTTTCAGTTCATTCTAGAAAAGCTCATCTTTGAAAAAATAATATAATTATATATATATATATATATATATATATATTTTTTTTTATGATTGCTTTGCCACATTTTTCCAAAGGATGCTCAACAATACAACGTGGCTGGCTGCAGTGGCTCACGCCTGTAATCCCAGCACTTTGGGAGGCCAAGGTGGATGGATCACCTGAGGTCAGGGGTTCAAGACCAGCCTGGACAACATGGCAAGACCCCATCTCTACTAAAAATAGAAACATTAGCCTGGCATGGTGGCACGTGCCTGTAGTCCCAGCTACTTGGGAGGCTGAGGCACGAGAATTGCTTGAACTCAGGAGGCGGAGGTTGCAATCAGCCAAGGTCGTGCCACTGCACTCCAACCTGGGCAACAGAGCGAGACTCTGTCTCAAACAAACAAACAAACAAACACAAAATACATTGGGTTGAAATTTATACACCATTACCCAGCTGTGCAAAGAAAATGTTGAGTTACCTTTTAGCTGACCACATATTGCTCTGAGCTCTTATACCTGTTGATGTGGGGAGTGTAGGGATGACTTAACTTAAAAGTGCCAGTTGCCAGATACAGTGGCTTACACCTGTAATCCCAACACTTTGGGAAGCTGAAGTGGGGAGACGGTTTGAGCCCAGGAGTTCAAGGCTGCAGTGAGCTATGACTGTACCACTGCACTCTAGCCTGGGGCAGAGTGAGATCCTCTCTCAAAACAAACAAAAAAAGTGCTAATTAGGGTAACTCAGCCCTTTCAGTCTTGGAGTTTGTGTGTGAACAAGTGTTTAATTTATTCAAAGAATCAGTCTTTTGGGACTGTTTATTCTCTTCCCTTTCATGTATTCAGGCTCTCCTCCTCCTCCTTTCCAGGGCCTCTGTGTGTTAGGGATAGGATTCCTAAACCTGTGGGTGGAAGTGGACCTGAGAGGGGCACTTCTGAGGAGGGGAGCATCCCCTTAGTCCAGTCACCGGGTGTACTGTGTGTTGTACCTGCCTGGTTTGGGTGAGGTGCTGGATCTGCCACTCACTGACCACCGGAGACCCTGCCATTTGCCCTAGCTGTGTTCTGCACACACTGTCAGCCCGTACAAGGTCTGTGAGCTCTGCCCAGCCCCACCCCCAGCTGCCAGTATGTAGTTCTCACCACAGCCCTAGTATGTGGGGGCCCTGTGGAATACGGGCTTTCCTGAGGGACTTGCATTTTCCCCTGAGATAAGCCCGGAAGTGCTAACTCCCTACCACCCTCCAGAACATTAGTGTTGAACCTTCAAGAAGGTTCCATGAAAGTATCAGGATAGCTTGGGAAGATGTGAATGCCATTGATTTCATGAGTAGAAGAGCTAGAGGAAACTAGAAACTTTAGATTATCAAATGTATACATCCATTGATTTAATATCTCAAAAATATCCCCGTTAGAGCAGAAACTTGAAAATAAGTAAATACTGCAAGAATAAATCAGAAATAGTCCTGCCATTCCTTATTTTACATTTGTAATCCTATAAATGTCACGATGATGCATAAAAACTCAACTCATCTGTAGCGTTTTATTGTTAGACACTTAACCAAATTCATTGCTTCAACCATTTAAACTTTAAGTAAAAAATTTTAAAGTTCTATATTCTAATATATATGGGTATGGAGGAGGAAAAACGAAGATTGCTAACCAGGCTCATGTTTAGACCCTAAGAAAATATTTACAAAGTCTCATACTGGGAAAATAATGTAGTTCTACTATTTGATTTCTAAATATAATTGATATCACCAGGAAATTAAATTACGTTTCAGCCACAAAATAAAAATTAAATAGGTTTTCTTGTCATTATCCAACAAATATTTGCTGTAGGCTGGCTATGCCTGCAGTTTTGTGCTAGAAGCTGGGTATACAATGGTGAAAAGACTCAGTCCCTGCCTACAAGAAGTTTAACAGCCAGTCAACCAATTCAACTCTATACAACAGAAATTCTGATTAGAATAGGCTCTGGTGGTGTGGGACACAGGAAAAGCTCCAGGCCAGGAAATAGGGGATCAGAGAGGCTTCCTCAGCAAGGTGACACCTCAGCTGAAATGTGGAGGATGAGTTGGAGTTAACCAAATAAAAGGAGATAAGACTATCTAGACAGAGAAACGACCTGGCCAAAGGGGCCTGGAGGTGAGGCTGAAAGCAGGTGTGCTCAGTGTTACTGGAGCCTGGAGGCACAGGGGAGCTATTTCTCAGAAGAGACTAGCAAAAGCAAGCAGGAGATAAGGCTCGGAAGACAAGACTTTAATCCCCTCCTTCCCCCATCCTCCCTGCCTCTCTCCTTCAAGTGCAGCACACGAGCTCTGGGAGTGCTTCCCCCGCAATGTTCTGCAAGCTCTTTCTAGTAAAGGATGGAATTCTGCAGGCTCTAATGGGCGGGTGGTCAGGAGGTGAGCCAAGGCCAGAGGAAGACTTGTCTGAAATTCCTCCCTGGTACAAATACAGTGTGTGTGTAGGGAATGAAGTGTCCCTGAAAGGGGAGCTCCCAGAAAGGGCTGTCACTTTTATAAAGGGCTGGTCACTTAAAATACACACACACACACACACACACACACACACACACACACACACACAGGAGAAGAGGAGGTTATTTTTCATTGTCATAGCTGTAGAGTTTAGCTCTCAAGCACAAAGGGAAGGGCAGAGCTTGGGGCATGGTTGGAATTGGTGAAAACCTGTTGTTTGAACTCAAGATTGGCATTCAGGGGTTTTGAATATTACCAATTAAAAATGTTGCATGAATCCATGTTATAAACTGGTACTTCTCTGTCACTAAGTTTATCCATCATGTGCTTCTAACCCCACAGAGTATATTCTGTAGACTCATTACCATGGTTTTTAAAATCTTACATTGTCCCAATATGTTATGGGCCAGTACCTGGGCAATCACCTTGAAACATTTTGCTTATTACACTGCTGGTTGAGAGGCAGGTGCAGTCTACCCAAGGGCAGCATAGGATCTGTAGGAATACAGCATTTTCCGCTTCCATTTACTCTCACCTGGATATGGTCTCCAACTCATTCAGCTTGTCTTACATTAAAAAATGAGATAGTATTGTATGTGAAAGTGTTTTGTAAACTCTAAAGCTCTATGCAAGTCTATGATAGTGGCATTATTATTATTATTATCATTATGGATAGCATGACGGTCAAGCATTGCATTGGTCCTAAACTGATGAGAATTGGTGAGAATTGCAAAGATAAGCACAGTGCTAGGCCTGGCTGACTGTTATTCTAGGTAGATATAAAGGTAGCATTTACATCACAATTTACTATCATTAAAACATTAACAAGAACTCATAAGAATATTGGCATTTACTAAAAGATGAAACAATTGAAATAATTATGGAGATGAAAAAGAGGAGACATCAATTATAATATCGTAACATTTATTTTTCATCATACATATTCATTTATTTGAAAGTATATTAATACTTTAAAAAGAAAAAGTAACATTTGCATCTTTTTCACTTATCATGTTCAGAAGTTCATTTAAATATGGATGTTCCTCAACTTAGAATGGGTTTATGTCCCTATAAATCCATCATAAGTTGAAAATATCGTAAGTTGAAAATGCATTTAATACATCTAACCTACTGAATATCATAGCTTACCCTGGCCTGCCTTAAACATGCTCAGAACACTTACATTAGCCAACAGCTGGGCAAAATCATCAAATACAAAGCCTATTTTGTAATAAAGTATTGAATATCTCATATCATTTATTGATGTTCTACTGAATGCTTATCACTTTCATAGTATTGTAAAGTTAAAAAATCATAAGTTGAACCATTGTAAGTCAGAGACTATCTGTAATAGGTTTAGAATCTACATGATTTGTTATTAATTTTGGCTGCTAAACATAGCCACTGTTATAATAGGATAATTCTACTTTTAAAAAAATATGTTTTATCCCTCAAAGTTTTGCTCACATCCAGTTATAATTCACATTCCACTTGTATGTTTTGAACACAAGTTATGTGCATGGCACTGGGCTAGGTACTCTCATATTTGATGTCATTTTATCTTTAAGAGAAGTCTTCAGGTTAGGCATTATTTCATCTGGGGGTTGAATATCTAAGGAAACTGCAGTGCAGAGAGTACTGGAACTTGGGGTGTTGAAGGGACCCTGACCCAGTGTTCCTTCCTAGTTGTCCTTTTGTCACTATTAGGGTCTCCAATGCTCACATCCTCCTTGGCAGCCACTCTGTGATTTCTCAAAATTCTATTTCTAACACCAGAGTCCCTACCAACCCTGCCTTCCCAGTGCTGAGTTTGATAGCTGTTAGGAGTTACACGTAGTTCCCCAAAGGACCACTTTTTCTTCTGTCTACTGTTCACTCTTCTACTCCTTCTCCCTATCCCCTGCCCTTTCAGGTAAAATCTACAGATACGTTCTGAGAAGCTGAGAACCTCTAATTATTTTCAATATCCACCCCCCAAGAAAACAGGCCAATAATTTAAAACCATCTGTGCCTGTTCTGACTTTGGGGAGGTTCTATAGAGCTGATCACTTACTCTCTTTCACATAACAGGGCCTATTATCTGTTTTCGTTTTTATTAGATATGGTTCATTCTCAAAATCACAAATCTGACTTTGTTTGTTTTAAATAACTTTTTATTTGTAACTCATTATTCCTCATCTTATTTTTGCCAGTTTCCATTATCTAGTTTGCTTTTCAAATTTGTGTTGTTAACTTGTTCTCTCACAATGAGACTATATGTATTATCTCTTGAACTCTATTTGTTTTGCTGTGAAGGTAGCTTTCTCTTTACTGATGAGCACTGCTTGATGTGTTGATTCACCTGGGCCCCCTTAAGCATGATTGTAGAAAGAGCCCAGACTTTGGCTTCCAGCAAATCTCTTCCTAATCTAGGACCTTGGGCCAGTGGCCTAATCTCTCAGAGCCTCAGTTTCTTTTAGAAAACTGAGCTATTGTGATCTTTTAAGGATTAGAGATAATATATGGCAAAATTATGACTTTACTAGTTGGTGGCAATTACTAATATCATCAAAAAATCTTATTTGTTATCTGGAACTCTTGAAAGTAGCATTATTTGAACAGTAGAATTTCTCAGGTATCTCAGAAGACATAGTCTTTTATTCTTAGATTTCAAAAATTCCACCAAAAATATTTCTAAAAGGTACCCTATCCTTCCCTGCCTTCTTAAGAAGAATATACTGATAATAATGTAAGTTGTTCTTGATAATTCAAATTCATTAAATGAACACTGGATATTATGATATAAACACTAATCCATATGGGGAGTGTGTGTAAATGCAATTATCTTGTTTTTTAAAAAGAACCTAAGTTCAACTTTTATCCTTTCCTTTGTCCTCGCTTTTCCTAAGCTCTTTCTCAGAATAATAGAATTAAACTTGCAGGCCCAACTTACTGGGCAATGGAGAGATGGTAAAATTTGCTTTCTTGGAGAGTTCTGCAGTGGCATTTAATGAAGCAGCTGCACTGCCCTCATGCATGCCAGGCACTTTGACATCAGTGACTTCCCCTATTCTTTGGCAAGGCTTAATGAATCAGAGACATAAACATCTTTTTTTTTGTCAGTTTGTCCATGCATTCATTTTTTTTCATTATTTAGATCACTTACAGTGAAAGATAAAAGTGATGAATATGAAACTCCTTCTCAGACTCCACTGAGGGTCCTCACTTACGCAAGCCCCTTAATTGTTGATGCACTCCAGGGAATGCCCAAGACCCCTTTACTCCATGCCTTCTCCCAGGATGTCAGTCCTACACTCTCTCGTGACTCACTTCTCTCTCCATACATAGATACAGATGTGGATACATTTATGCATGTGTGATGATGTTATCATGACTGGTTTGCTTGCCTATTCCCAGAAATTTCTAAACCCCTGTAAGGTAGAAACTCTCTCTTGTTATGTTTTCAGTTTTCAACATATATTACATATAGCATTTGGTTTATATAACCTACACAATAAGTATTTTGTTCAATGAGTGAAAACATGAATGATATTAAAATGATGAGAAATATTTGAATTTGAATTTGGTACCAGAAAATAGGCCAAGAATAATTGTTGTTACTCACCAAAACATGTAACTCTGGGCTTCTTTGATATCTAAGGCAAAAAAATAAAATTCTATGAACCTTTTTTTCCCATAAAAGAAGTGAAATCATTTCTTTTTTTCATTAATTTTTGAGGAGGTTTTTTTTTTAAGCAAGGATTTTCATTTAAGCAGCAATAAACAGCACAGTATGCTGGAATCTTTAATAAGTTTTTAAAAAGATGCAGGCATAGTCTTCATGTAATTTTTTAGATACTGACTTTTCCTAACAGCTAAGGGTATCATATGAAACCCCGCTTTAAGAAGGCATTTTTCTCCTATTGGAAGGAATGCTCTCAGCTCTTGCTTACCCTTGACCTGTTTATGCCTCATACATGGATTCTTACATAACAAGGACAGTAAACCATGGGCTCCTGTGCACCTGATTCTTATTTACACTGTTTGTCCATGTGGCTTCAAGGAAAAGGACTCCTTTGTCGGGGGAGGTTTACTATAAACCACAAGTTCATCATCATGCAAAGAAGCTGTTCCTGCTGAGATGACACCAGGCAGTTTCCGCAAAGCTCTCTTCTGTGTTGAAATAGAATTCCAGGCACAAGTAGCACTTACAATCTCAACTTTACTGTTATCATTCAGTCCAACTCATCCTGTATATTGCCTTCATGATAGATCAACTTTCCCTTCAGATGCCTTTTGCATTAATATTTGATATCCGGAATAACTCCATTTTCCATAGGCTGAGTAAGCAGATTAGCATCTGGAAATGGAGAGATGGTAAAATTTGCTTTCTTGGAGAGTTCTGCTGTGGCCTCTAATGAATGCATGCCAGGCACTTTGACATCAGTGACTTCTCCTAAGTTAGGAAAAAAGTTGTGCTGTCTGCCCATGTATAACCTTGTGCTTTGTAAGCCAAAGACAAATGTAGAAGTCCTTTAAAAGCCAATGTCACCTCCACCGCTGCTCTTTGTCCCATACTCATCCCTTTCTTGTCTTTGCCCTTCTTTTTAATCTCCTGTGTCTTATATTTGTCAGCCTAGAGGAAATCATAACCTTAAATCCATGTTGGAAAAGTGCAAGGCAAAACCAAACAAAAATACGGATTAGAATAATCCAGCAATTCTATTTCTGAGTGTATATCCAAAAGAATTGAAAGCAGGAGCTCGAAGAGATATTTGCACACCTGTGCTCCTAGCAGCATTATTCACAAAAGCCAAAGGGTGGAAGCAACTTCAATATCCATTGACAGATTAGTGGATTAACAAAACGTGATACAGACATACAAGGAGTATTATTCAGCCTTAAAAAGAAGGGAAATTCTGACACATGCTACAACATGGATGAAGCTTGAGGACACTATGCCGAGTGGAATAAGCCAGTCACAAAAAGGTTCAACTACTGTGTGATCTCACTTACATGAGGTACCTAAAAGTGGTTACCAGAGGCTGGGGGGAGGGTAAATGGGGAGTTGGGGTTTCAGTTTTGCAGGATGAAAGGTTCCAGAGATCTGTTGCACAACAGTGTGAATATGGTTAACACTATTGAATTTTACACTTAAAATGGTTATGATGGTAAATTTTATGATATTTGTTTTTCACCCACAATTAAAGATATATAGAGGTTAGAAATAGAAGCTCTGCAGGGGGCTGGGGTATCTAGAGAAGGCTTAAGATAGTAGCAAGAAGTGACAAGCAAACGGTCAAACAATGAAGGAGGAGCTGCATGGGAGCTTTGGTTTTAACAGCTTCTGTACACGGAGAACGGGAAACAAAACACAGGTGGGATGTCCAATAGGAGGCTCTCCACTTCATCTGGGACCTCACTGTTAGGATTAACTAAACACATTCTATTACCAACATCTTCACTAGGGGGACTACATGGAAAACTGCGTGTTCCCAACCTTGTTCCAGGCTCCTAAGAATCCCTCATTAAGTATTTGATAGACAAATCAATGAAGACTAATTTTTTTTTTTCAAAATTGAATTCTTTTCCACTGAATTAGAGCTAATAAGAGATGAATTAGGGGTTAAAACTTTTACTATCTGGGTCTAAATTTCTCCACATTTTAGTTTTAATGATTTAGATTTTTTCAATAAATATTTCAGTTTTTCTTATAGCAGGCTTCACCAATAACCTAGATATTGCCAATGAAAATCTTTTTACTCTTAGTAAAATTTGAATATGTATCTCAACATTAACACACTTTTCAGAAATGAAGTCATTTAAGATCTTTTATTGAATTCCTACTTTTCATAAGAACTATTTTTATAGCAGTTTCTTGGCCTTAATGAGCAGTAGCATTTTGACGTGATGAGTAGCAGAATTTTAATGGTACGTTGTAAAGAAATTGAAGTATGTTGGTAAGAAAAGCGCTTTTTGTTGATCATTATCCTTTTCTTAGAGTATTTAGTTTGAATGAAATATGTTGGTTTACATATCAGAATTTGAACATTTGCTTTTTGTATTTTTAAATTATGGTGTACATATATATGTGTGTGTGTGTATACATATATATATATATTTGTGGCCATGCCATGACAACATAAAGCCCTTTTTTCTGTTGTTTCTTTTGGTATCTAAAAGCATGTGAGTCAGGATCTGGAAGCCTCGTCATGTTCTTCAACACAAGGAAAATTTAACCGAGAGCAGTTTTACAAATTTATCATTTTCCCTGGCAAGTGGATTAAAGTCTGGTATGATCGACTGACCTTGCTGGCATTACTTGATCGGTAAGCCACTGAGCATGCACACACACTGTCGGAAGGCACACCGGGGACGTGACAGTGCCCACTGCATGCTTTCAAAGAGAACATTGTCACTTGCACATTTTCAAGTTGTACGCTTCCTTTGCTGACAACCCAAAGTTAAAGCAAAAAGATCCTGACAACAAATTGTAGTTCAGCAGTTACAATGAGAAATAAGAGAGTTACAATAAGTAACTCTTATTAATAATAAATTAACATATTAATAATAAGAGATAATGAGAAATAATAAGTTACAATAAGAAATAAGAAATGGTTTGTATTTAAGGTTTGTTTGGGCACAGTAGCATGCTTTGGTGTACTCACGTCTTGCCCTATTTTTGTGGGAAAGCTTGAGGCCCATCTGTAGCACAGGGCCTGGCTTGACTGGGTGTGGGCATGGGGAGAGGAGGGAAGATGAAGTAGGGTGATTTCTGCCTCTTTCCCGGACACCTTGGATTCTTATTGCTCACTTGTATCTGATGTACACTCACTTGAATGTTAATTTTTCCTTTAATCTCCTTTCCCCTTTCTCACCTCCTCCTACCACTGTTCCATACAGCAAAACGTTGTGGGGTTGGAGCTGTGGTTACTGGGTAGGGAGAAAGAGGAGGAGAAGTTAAGGTTAGTTAAAACATGATGGAGGCTGGGCATGGTGGGTCAAGCCCGTAATCCCAGCACTTTGGGAGGCTGAGGCGGGCAGATCACCTGAGGTCAGGAGTTCAAGACCAGCCTGACCAACATGGTGAAATCCTATCTCTACTAAAAATACAAAAATTAGCCGGGTGTGGTGGTGCATGCCTGTAGTTCCAGCTACTCAGGAGGCTGAGGCTAGAGAATTGCTTGAACCCAGGAGGCGGAGGCTGCAGTGAGCTGAGATTGTGCCACTGCACTCCAGCCTGCACAACAAGAGCAAAACTTAATCTCCCCCCCACCCAGAAAAAAGAAAACATGATGGAGATGGGCCTAAGGAGTGGGGGCTTCTCATTTGTATCTTTTCCTACCTCAAAATTTGCACATAACAGTTTATGATGTTCAGGGGCTGAGTAGCACTGACTACACGGTTGGCTTGAAAATTTCAGATGCTATTACTAATGCTGCCATAAGCAATTGCTGAGTTTCACAGTTTAATGCCAGCTCTTGGGGGCAGTGGAAAAACTGGTTGCCTGTCTTGTTGTCATTGGTCCCCCAGTGACTGGTTTTTATAGTAATGTCTTAAATAGTGTGATCACATATGAAAAAAACTATAGTCATGCAAAATTACAACAGTAAATTTCAGGACCCACAAGTCAGGGAATGGAGTTATAATGGTTTTCCTAACAACACTATGTTACCCAAGGGGCACACACTTAGAAGGAACATTTAATACTTAACTAAAAATCCAAGATAGTATATTCTGGTAAATGAGGCATTTTTGAAATATTAATTATTTTCTGTTAAAAAGAAATTATTGAAAGTTGGACTAGCTTGCATTAACCCTTCATGTCAAAACAAAAATAAATGTATCTATAGATTTGTCTGTTATTTTAAAATCTACTTGGTGACAAAAAATTAATTGGAAATCCATTGGAAGTCTAGGAAGGATGATGAGGATGACCGCACTTTTTAAAAGCTTATGTTTTCATTATTTTAATCACCTTTCTGGCAAGTTACAATGGGTTTTTAAATGTTGTGCTTAGGGATGACCTAGAAATAGCACCATTCCCTTATCCATAGATCCTTCAGCTGGTTGGGGAATCCCTGGACTCGAGTCAGCCTTGGGAATTAAACCTGGTCCCTACTACTTATTAGTGCTATGATCTTAGGATGGCTATGAAACCTTCCAGTGCGTCCGTTTCCTATCTGTTAAATGGGTATAATCTATACACAGGGAGGTTGTAAAGATTAAATCAATTTAGTCATTGAAAGAGTTCTTTAAATATTAGTTGCTCCTATTATTATTATTATTACTTGGAATGTGGCCCAGCTCCCAGAAAGAAGAAAAATTAAAAATAAATAAAATTAGGCTAGCCAAAGTAGATGTTGTCAAATCCAGACACTAAAATTTAGACTGTTAGTTCATAGGTAACATAACATTTTTTTTTTTTTTTTTTTTTTTTTTTTACTTTAGTTCTGGGATACATGTGCAGAACGTGCAGGTTTGTTACACAGGTATACATGTGCCGTGGTGGTTTGCTGCACCTATCAACTCGTCATCTAGGTTTTAAGCCCCACATTCATTAGGTATTTGTTCTGATGCTCTCCCTCCCCTTGCCCCCCAAACCCTGACAGGCCCCGGTGTGTGATGTTCTCCTCCCTGTGTCTATATGTTCTCATTGTTCAACTCCCACTTACGAGTGAGAATATGTGGTGTTTGGTTTTCTGTTCCTGTGTTAGTTTGCTGAGAATGAGGCAACGTCACTTTTAATTCAGAGCCATATAAGCCTACCAAAAGTCATCAGTTAGCAGGATTGGTGATCTGGTTTTATAATTTAGAGTCAATTAAAATAAGGAAAGGGACTACATGAACTCACAGCTCACAGTGAGGAAGGAGGAAGAAACCCAAAATACTGACCTAGAAAAACTGAGCTGTTTGGGACCTTTGCAAGGAGAGCATAATCCCCAAACAGGGCTGTGGGTCGGAATCATTGGGGAAGCTGGGTAAAAATGCATAATATGCATAATAAAAACAAACTGTAAGAGCTAGGCAGGAAGCGGAAGAAAGCAGTGGGTAACAAGCACTAAAATTGCAGTAATCATTGCTATAAACTCCCATAGATTAAGTCATCCTGCATGACATTCTTCAAAAGAGTCAGGCTGTTCTTCCTTAAAAATGTTTTCTTAGTCTTTGGGCAGTAGTTTCATGGTTCCTGCCGTTGCAGTTCCAGCTATTTGCCTGCAGTTCTCCACCTATTCTACTCAGATGTTTCTGGACTTGTCCTATTCTCCTTACTTATATTCTCTGATTTCATATCTTGCCATTACCCTTTCCTTCAAAACACTGAGGGTTTATTTTCATTTATCTAGTCGATCAGGTCAGCATCTGAAATAAGAAGTTGCCCTTCTGTGCATTATTTCAACATTTCATTCATTCAACAAATATGAACCAAAGCACCTGTTCCGTGCTAGGATCTGTACTGGGCACTGGGTATGGAGTGATAAATAAAACAGCCATTGTCTCTGCCCTTATGGAACTTACTTTCTGGGAGAGGAGAGAAAACTGTAATAGGTGCCATGAAGGAAGCACATAAAGGCCTGAGATAGAGAGACCTGAGAGGGAAGGGCACTGATGTTCGAACTGGTGGTTGGCAAAGGCTTTTCTGGGGAAGATACACACAAACTGAGATATAAAATGAGAGGTAGCTAGCTATATGACAAGTAAAGAGGAAATCATTCATGCTTCTCAAACTAAACTAATTGTCATCAGTTACCATGAGAACACACACTTATAGCTCTCATCCTTAAAAATCCTGTCTTAAAACCATCATTCTCAGCAAACTAACACAGGAACAGAAAACCAAACACCGCATGTTCTCACTCATAAGTGGGAGTTGAACAATGAGAACACATGGACACAGAGAGGCAAACATCACACACCGGGGCCTGTCAGGGGGTGGGGGACAAGGGCAGGGAGAGCATTCGGACAAATAGCTAATGCACGCGGGGCTGAAAACCTAGATGACGGGTTGATGGGTGCAGCAAACCACCATGGCACATGTATACCTATGTAAAAAACCTGCACGTTCTGCACATGTATCCCAGAACTTAAAGTATTTTTTTAAAAATCCTGTCTTACCCCACTTTTTTACCAGCCACTGTCCTGTTTCTCTGCTCCTCTTTGCAGCAAAACTCCTTGAAGGGTTGCCTGTGTTTGTTTCCATTTGCTCCTTTCATTCTCTAATAATCCTGTCCCATTCAGGCTCCCCCAACCTCAAAACTCCGTTGAACCTGCCCTTGTCAGGGTCACCGTTGATTCCATCTTTTTCTTCTCACGTTACTAGACTCATTTGGAGTATTTGACAGAGTTAATTTCTCCTACTGCCTGGTAGAGGTTCTCTTGGTTTCCAGGACTCAGCATTCTCTTGGTTTTCCTTCTGCCTTGTTGGTCACTGCTACATAGGAAGGGAAGATTTACAGGTTTTTCTGCCTCCTGACCCTTTAATGTTGAAGTCCCCAGTGGCTGCAAAGCTCTTGGTCTTCATTCTTTCTCTATCTGCCCTCCTTTCTTTGGTGATGGCATTCAGTCTCATGGCTTTTAATATGCCAGTGACACTCGGATTTATATCACCAACTTGGACTCATCTCCTGAATTCCAGACTTGCATATCTAACTACCAAATTGACATCTCATGATTTCAGGATGACATCTCACATCCAAGACTGAGCTCTTCATCTCAGCCTCACCCAAGCCTGCTCCACTTGTGGTCTTCCCCATCTCAGGTGATGAAAACTCCATCCTTCTGGTTTCTCTGCTTAAATATCTTGGAGTCGTCCTTGAGTCGTCTTTCCTTTCACACCTGCATTCAGTCTCTTGTAGGAAGTTATTTTCGCTGTTCCTTCCACGTGTATCTATTGCATCTTTCCAGTGTCAATGTGACCACCTGGTCTGAGCCATTTCATCTCTCATCTGGTTACTGCAATAGCATCTTCCCTGCTTCTATCCATTCATTCTCTTTGTATAGTATTTTTTTTTAACTTCTCACATTGCTAGACTCATTTGCCTAGACTGTTGCCTAGGCTGGTCACAAACTCCTGGGCTCAAGCAATCCTCCTGCCCCAGCCTCCCAAGTAGCTGGGATCACAGGTGCCCATCATGCTCAGCCCCTGTACACTATTCTTAACCCAACACAATATGTCTTTTCAACGTCACTGCTTTACCGACTGCCCAGCAATGGCTCCCCATTTCACTCAGAATGAAAATCAAAGTGCTCACAATGCCCTCAAGTCCCCCATGCTGTAGCCACTAATTTGTTTTCTGGCCTGATCTCCCACTATCCCTGTGGACTTTTCTCCATCCATACTGGCCTTCCTTTTGTCTTTCAAGCATGCCAGGCAATCCTCCAGCTTAAGACCTTTGTACTGGCAGTTCCTGCGCATGGAACATTCGTCTCCCAGATGTTTGCAGTGCCAACTCCCTCACCTTTTCTCTCGCCTGGTTCTATTCTTTTTTCTGTTGCATTTATGTTTACATATTGTATATTTTACTGAACTTTTTTGTTGATACTTACTTATGGCACCACTCACAGGAAAGGAAGCTCCCATCTCTTTTGTTCACTGATGTCAAAGCAGCTAGAACAGTGTGGAGCACTTTTGCTGCATGAAGGAAGAAACCAATTTTCCTTTGCAAATTGGCTCCCCTTCCTAATTTCTGCCATGGATTCTGCCATGATCCTTTACTTCTCAGGTTTTTAAATCTTGGAGTAATCTTTATTCTTTCAATCAGTCCTTCGTTGTCCATAATCCATTTGGAGTTCTGTAAGCCTCACTCTGAGTTGTGTCCTCGAGTCAGGGGTCCTTTCCTATTCCCCAGCCATGTGAGCTTCCCAGGCCCTCATTACCTCTCCTGGGAGTTTTGTTTATCCTTGCTCTGTTCTCTTCCCCATCCAGTGCACTTTGTAAACCTCTGCATGATAAATCTTTCAAAAGTACAGCCTTAGTCATGTCACTCTTTGCCTGGCAAGTAAACTTTTTAACCCGATATTTAAAGATAGATAAACAGGAAACTGAGGGAGAGAGGATTGGGAACCTGGGGGCAGAGGAATTGAATCCTGGCAGAGGAGAATTTGGAGGAAAAATATGTTTTAGGAACCTTATTCTTTGCCCTCCCCAAACAGAAAAAGGTTTTTTTTTTCTTTGAAATTTTATTTCAAAGACCTTTGGATATTTTTAAGTATCCATCAAAATGTTATGAGATCATGAATTTCATGGACCTCAACACACCAAATATATTGAGCACTATTAAAAGTGCACAGTGGAAAATAAAAGATACCCACAATTTCCTTTTTGCCAAATATATTTTGGTTTCCCCCGATTAAAAAAAAAAATTCAACTTGAGCCTCATGATTATCTGAATACTCAGCCTTTCTATATATTTCTATGTTATCTTTCTACCCTATTCTATTATTCTGTAATATATCAGCTGCAGTTCAGTCAACCAAATCACCCATTGTTTTCCTTCTGGCTGTTGTCCTCAGAGTTTCCCATCCTTCCTTGTTTAGGAGGCCCAAGGCTATGCCTCTCGGCAGCCCCAGCTCCAAACCTATTTTACTATAGTTATTTATTTTTCTATTTCTTTGAATCTGTGAAATCTGTATACGTATCTATCAATCAATCATCTCTATAGCTATCTATCTGAAATTATATATAAAAAGTCCCTATCAAATGATTCATGCATTTGTTCATTTCTTCAAATGTTTTCTCTTTACTGTTTCTCTCATTTTTGTTAGCTATTGAAGCATCAGGTGTCAGCATTAGATTCGGGTTCTTTTTCCCTCATTTTTTCATTCGTTAAAAAATGTTCCACAGAATGGAAGAAAATATTTTAAAAAACGAAGGATTGTCATCCAGTATACAAAGAACACTTAAAACTCAACAGTAAGAAAAAGGAACAACCCGAAAATGGGCTTAAGGCCTAAAGAAACACCCCACCAAGAAGATATACAGATGACAAATAAGCATATGAAAAGACATTCAACATCAATAGTCCTTAGGGAACTGCAAATTAAAGCAGCAATGAGATACCACTACACACCCGTTAGAATGGCCAAAATCCAAAACACTGACAACACCAAATGCTGGTGAAGATGTGGAGCAACGGGAACGCTCATTCACTGCTGGTGGGAATGCAAAATGGTACAGCTACTTTAGAAGACAATTCAGCAGTTTCTTATAAAACTAAACATATTGTTCACCACACGATCTAACAATCATGCTCCTTGGTGTTTACCCAAATGAGTTGAAAACATACGTCCATGCAAAACACTGCACATGAATGTTTGTAACAGCTTTATTTATAATTGCCAAAACTCAGAAGCAATCAAGATATCCATCAAAAGGCAAATGGATAAACAAACTGTGGTATCTTCATACAATGAGATGCTATAAGAGATAAAAAGAAGTGAGGCACCAAGCCACAGAGACATGGAGGAACGTTAACTGCATAGTACTTAAAGAAAGGAGCCAATATGCAAAGGCTACATACCGTATGGTTCCAACTATATGGTCCTCTGGAAAAGACAGAACTATGGAGACAATAAAAAGATCAGTTGTTGCCAGGGCTTAGGGTAGGGGAGTGATGAATAGGTGGGGCACAGATTTTTAGGGCAGTGGAACTTTCACTAGAGTTCTCATTTGGTGGAGACATGTCATTATACATTTGTCAAAACCCAATGTACACCACCAAGAGTGAACTCGGATGTAAACTATGGACTTTGGGTGATACTGATGGATAATGATGTGTTAATGTTGGTTCATCAGTTGATGTTGATGGTGGGGGAGGCTGTGTGCATGTGTCTGTGGGGAGGGGCTATGTGGGAACTCTGTACTTTCCCCTCAGTTTTGCTGTGAATCACAAATGTCTCTCAACAACATATCCTATTATTTTTTTTTAAATGTTCACAATTGCCTACTTGCTAGGCACAAAGTAGCCAAATATTCTTGTCTAAAAAACAATATCAGCTTAGTGGGGTAGAAAAACAGGTATATGAGCAAAAACTGGAAAGGTGAGAAGTATACTCAGAATCCTTGCGAATGACCCACCCAAACACCCAGGCCCCTTGTTCCCTGACCCTGTGGTCCATGCCGTCCCCTGTGACTCCATTTCTGCCACTTCCTTCCATGGCCTCACCCTGCATCTTATCCTCTCACAGAAGTCTTCCACCTCTGACATTATAATCCTGTCTCTGCTCATCCTTTGTATCTCTCTCTAACTTCCTCAGATGTTCCTCAGTCCTCTCCAGCAATTTGCCCCACCATATTTCTCTTACCTTGCAGCCCTTGCCATCTTCAGTTTCCTCCCTATTCTACCTAGGCTACATGATCCAGCCCTGTAGCCCCTTCCTATCTCTATCCTAAAACAGCCTTACATTGTCCTTTGCATACCCACCTGATAACACTCCACCTCTGGATGACCCCACCTCTCTACCCTATACCTTGTATGGGGAGTCCATACAAGAGTCACCCAGTGAGACAGTGTGGACCCGACACACCCCAGGGCAGGTCCTCTGCACTGTCAGGAAGTTGCAGCTCACCCTCAACTCTCCTGCTGGAGCTCTCCTGGCTCCTGAAATTTGACAGTAAACTCGGACACCAAAAGTTTTATCTGGAAATGATTGTCTGCTTAGGCCAGGTGTGAATGCATCCCCCTTACCACCCCCTTCCATTGAAAGGAACCAGTGAAGCTCTTTATCTGAAACACATTTCATGGTCATGGATGGAATCATTAACTACGTTTTGCCAGTAAACCCAGTTTAGTGGCCAAGCAGATCCAATGGGATGAGATTTTATTTGCTTCAATAACAAAAATCTGGTATTAAGTTGGATTTTGTTTATATAGCATGAGGAATAAGGAAAGAAAGAAACCCTAAAATCTCACAGGGGAATAAAGTCTTGCTTAAGGTAACTACTGTGTTGTCATGGTTCATTTTTTTGGAAACATGAAGGCATTCTGTTTAAAAATGGCAAAACTGGCTGGGCACGGTGGCTCACGCCTGTAATCCCAGCACTTTGGGAGGCCAAGGAGGGCAGATCATGAGGTCAGGAGATCAAGACCATCCTGACTAACATTGTGAAACCCCATCTCTACTAAAAAAAATAAAAAAATTAGCCGGGCTTGGTGGCGGGTGCCTGTAGTCCCAGCTACTCCGGAGGCTGAGGCAGGAGGATTGCTTGAACCTGGGAGGCAGAGCTTGCAGTGAGCTGAGATCATGCCACTGCACTCCAGCCTGGGCGATAGAGCAAGATTCCATCTCAGAAAAAAAAAAAAAAAAAAGGCAAAACTTACACTTTTTTTTTTTTTTTTTTTTTTTGCTTTTATGTATATATTTTGCACAGAACTGAAGACATCAAGGAGAATGTACTGGCGATTTTACTCATTGTCCTGGTTTCCCTCCTTGGATTTCTGACCTTGAGCCAAGGCTTTTGCAAAGATATGTGGGTGCTCCTCTTCTGCCTCGTCATGGCCAGCTGCCAGTACTCCCTGCTAAAGGCAAGACCACATCTAATTCTTACCAGTAGCGTGTGCTGTCACTAATGTAGCCTTGAAATCATGAGATGATGACACAGACACTTCTGATTTGTGTTTTAGAGTGTTCAGCCTGACCCCGCCTCACCAATACACGTAAGTTTCCAAATACAGGCAAGTAGCTTTTCTTGTCTGTCTGTGTTGAAGACAGGGAAAAAGCCAAAATCTAGTCAAAGGGCCAAGTCTGTACCTAGCTCTCTATACTGAATATAAAATAGAAATATCAAATATATATATATATAAGTGCATGGTGGCCAGCTTCCAGCTAAGTCTGAGAGCATGGTGTGGGTGGTATGGGGGAAGGTGTGGGGCAGTGGGTGGAGAGTGTGTGCAGAGTCTTTCCTATCCCACTGGATTCAAGTCAACAAAGATCGAGCAGTCTTGGGGGAAGACCGCAGACGTTGCCATCAGACTGCCTGTCTTTGTGTCCTGATTCCTCCACCTGAATGTTTGACACTGAACAACATACTGGGCCTTTTCATGCCTCAGTTTCCCTATGTGTAAATAGGTCTAATGGAAATGCCTACATGGATTAAATAATCCATTTAATGTGCTATAACAGTACCTGACACATAGAGATTGCTCAATAAAGGTTAGCTCTTATTATTAGTGATATAATTATATGGGCATGAATGATTATTCTTATTTTTAAAATTTATTGTATATACTTATGGGGTACAGGGTGATGTTTTGATATATGTATACATTGTAGAATTATTAAATCAAGCTGTTTGACATATCTATAACCACATATAGTTATCATTTTTTTTTCTGGTGAGAACATTTAAAATCTACTCTCTTAGCCGTTTTTGAGTATAACAGTGTATTATTATTAACTATGGTCACCACACTATACAGAAGATCTTCAGAATTCCTTCCTCCTGTCCAGCTGAAACTTTGTACCCTTTAGCCAATCTTTCCTCATTCCCCATCCCACTGCCTCCTGGTAACCACCATTCTATTCGCTTTTTCTATGGGTTCAACTTTTTTAGATTCCACATGTAAGTGACATCCTGCAGTATATTTCTTTTTGCACCTGACTTAATTCACTTAACCTAATAATGTCCTCTAGATTCATCAGTGTTGTTGCAAATGACAGGATGGTCTTCTTTTTTTAGGCTGAATGATATTCCTATTATATATATATATACCACATCTTCTTTATCCATTCATGTGTTGATGGACATTTAGGTTGATACCATGTCTTGGCTATTGTGAACAGTGTTGCAATGAACATGGTGATGCGTATATCTTTTGGACATATTGATTTTATTTCCTTTGGATATATATTCAGAAGTGGGGTTGCTGGATCATATTCAAATAGAATTAAAAATTCTATTTTTATTTTCTTTTTGAGAAATCATACTGTTTTCCATAATGGCTGTACCGATTTCTGTACCCCCTAGCAGTATAGAAGGGTTTCCTTTTCTCCAAATCCTTGCCAACACTTGTTATCTTTTGTCTTTTTGATTAAAGCTATCATAACAGGCATGAGGTAATAGCTCATTGTGGTTTTAACTTGCATTTCCCTGAATCGTTTATTCTTTTTACATGAAGCTAATCTCTTTATTCCACATTTTCACATATATTGTTACTTTTCATCTCTGTAACTTTGAGCTAATTCATAACAAAGACTCTGAGCTCACCTATGCTGATCTGTTGGTGCCCTGGCATTATTTTGTGAACTCTGAAACACACCCATGTGCTTTCCTCTGAGCCTGCTGCCCCTTTGCTCATCCATGGTGGCCTACGGGGTGGGTGCTATGGGACAGGCAGTGCCCCTTGCAGGCATCTGAGCCACATGCCTCTGTACCGAGTTCACCGCCAGGTAGACTCCCCAGCTCGCTAAGCAACTGTCTTTCCTTTGTTGTGGCAATCTCCTGTAGCCCTGGAAAACCCTCCCAATGAAAGAAAGCTTGATTTTTCCCTCTATTGTGCTTTTAAAAAAAATTATATCCAGGATTTAGGACCCATTTTTCAATCTGTGATAGCTCCTGTTTAGCTCATAGTAATTAAGAAAAGCTTATAATTGGACGATCACATGGCATACATTGCTATCTTGTTAAATTCCTCTGTTCCCCATAATTGGTTTACATGTAATACATCTTCTTTTATCCTAGAGTCTGAATGTCAAGATAAGTAGAAGCAGCATAATTAGGGTATTGAGATGTATTGTTGTGATTATCGTCAGAAATCTGGGTTAGGTGGTGTGAGAGAGATGTACAGCTTTGAAGCTTTTTTGTTCAAGCCCACCCTAGATGCCACATCACCATTCTCCTGCCTCAGTCAACTCTCCTCACTCCTAACTGCACTTCAGTGTCGCTGTTTTTCTGCATGACTCTGGGGAGGGGTGTTCTATGCTGTTAAACATTCCTTTCCTGCATATCCTTTCAGAAATAATGCAGGACATCCCAGTAAAGGTGGATGGCAAGTACAGCTGCATAATCCTTGTGGATTTGTAATGTCTGTTACTATGGCCCGTATGCCACTGCTCTAGGTTGGAGTTATATTATTTAGTTCCCAGAGGAATCAATCAAGCTGCTATTCCTTTATCTGAGCAAGCATGTCATATAGTGAGACAGTATGAAATCACTTTTGTAAGACATAGTCAGACATTTAACTATGTTTATTGCAGTAATTAATTTGCTTACACAGATTTCTAAGTAGATTAGTCTCTGATTTGAGTTGGCATTTCTCCAGTACTTCTAATGAAGAAACAAAATATGGTAGCTATAAAATATTTCTTGTTGCAATCTGACTGAACCATGTGGGTATTTAGAAGACAGATTTATTACCTCCCATTTGTAGATAGAAAGCTTTAGAAAGGAGATGGTCAGGATCGGGAACCCAGGTTTGGGACACAGAGACGATTCTCAAGCTTGCTGCTGATTTTTATTCATAAGGGGCTGTGAAAGGAACCAAACTGCTTTTCAGACGGCACTATTTTGCACATTTGTGGAGGGTAGCTGTTAATAAATTCAGCCAATTTTTGCTCTTAGAGTGATTGACAGACCTTTCTTTTTTGCGTGCTTCTAAGAGCACAGGTGGCATATTTTGAGCAAGTTGTTAAAATCAGAAGATAGCGAAATGAAAATAAAGTTTTTGCATAACACTGTGTATTTCAATTTTAAATGCAGAATGAATAATAATAGCATGGCAACAGGTATGATACAGTAGCCCCTGGGCTCAAAAGAAATTAGTTTGATTCTAAAAGAAAATAGGTCTGGGAGAGCTTAGAAAGATTAGGAGTTGGATACTGTCTAACTGAAACTTTGCAATTTGAGGATCAGAGATGGCAATATATTAATGGGGAATGAAGATATTAATTTGCTTACACAGGTGTCCATATATGTGTAACTGACAGTAACCACTAATAACCCAGAAAGCAAAATTCAGTAGAATATCCAAGAGACAGTGAAAAACTAGAGCAGTGTGCCCGGAATCGCCTGAGCAAGCCAGAGGCAGAGCTCGATTTCCCCCCTCCCCTCTACTGGCTGGGACAGCACCCGGTAATCTGCATTTTTACACACTCCCAAGTCATTATGGTGGAGGCAATCACAGATCACACTTTGAGAAATATTGGAGTAACCAAATGCATACAGGGTTCATATCTGAATGCAGCCTTACCATGTGTAAGCTGTGAGAGCTTGGGAAACTTACTTCTCTCAATCATAGGTTTTTCATCTGCAAAAGAAGAATAAATAATAAAACAGGATTGCAAGAGAATGAAACAATGCAGTGTCCCTGAGTGTTTAGCACCGTATCTGGCCCTGAAGCACTTAGCAATTGTTAGCAGTATTTTTGTGTTTGTGCAAAATACGGATAATCAGAATAACATCAGTTGGATTTAATAAAGAGTGCACTGGGTGGCCAGGCATGGTGGCTCATGCCTGTAATCCCAGCACTTTGGGAGGCCGAGGAGGGTGGATCACAAGGTCAGGAGTTCAAGACCAGGCTGGCCAAGGTGGTGAAACCCCGTCTCTACTAAAAATACAAAAATTAGCTGGGCACGGTGGCAGGCACCTGTAATCCCAGCTACTCGGGAGGCTGAGGCAGGAGAATCGCTTGAACCCGGGTGGCAAAGGTTGCAGTGAGCCAAGATCGCGCCACTACACTCCAGCCCTGGGTGATAGAGTGAGACTCTGTCTCAAAAAAAAAAAAAAAAAAAAAAAAAAAAAGAGTGCACTGGGCAATGTATGTAATATGCCTGGTGCAGGCTTTAGCGTATACTAAGTATACTAAGTCCTCTGTAAATGTTTCCTTTCTCTTTACATATGTGTCTTGATTCCTTACAGTACAAACTCCAAAGAGGGCTACAGCTTGTTATGCATTCTATTCAATTAACTGTTGCTACTATTCAGGGAGGACATTTGGTATCCACTTCAGGTTATGTAGAAATTATTGGAGATTATTTTTTGTAAGTAAACCTTTTATTTTAGAGTAGTTTTAAATCTACAGAAAAATTGGGAAAGTGGTACTAAGAGTGTCTGTATACCCCATTCCCAGTTTCGCTGTATTAACCTCAAGCATTAGTCACAATATGATACATTTGTTGCAATTAATGGACCAATACTGATACATTATTATTGAAGTCCACATTTTATTCAGATTTCCTTGTTTTTTACCTAATGCCCTTTTTCTGTTTGAGGTTCCCATCCAGGGCACCAAATTACATTATAATAGCCGTCTTGTCTCTGTAGGCTCCTTTTGGCTGTGACCATTTCTCAGATTTTCCTTAAGCCTGAAAATTATTAGTCTGATTCTAAAAGGAAACAGTTTCTGGCAAACTTAAAAAAATATATAGGGTGAGGTGGATACTGGAAGAAATCCAAGGAACATATATACTAATATGCCAGTATGCTAATAGTTTTTGATGATCTTGACAGTTTTGAGGAGGACTGGTCAGGTAGTTTGTACACTGTTTCTCAGTTGGGATTTTTCTTATGTTTATCTCACGATAAGATAGGGATTATGGATTTTAGGAGGAAAACCACAGAGGTAACATGATGGATCACATCACATCAACGGGACAAATTATCAATATGACTTATCTCTGTTGATGTTGACCTTGATCACCTGGCTAATGTAGTGCTTATCAGAGGAATGATTTTGAATGACATGAAATAATTTCTCAATACTCAATCCTAAGAAATAAGAAGGTCAACTTAGTTTTATGGATCTTGATGAAAAGTTCTCAAATAATATTCAATTGTGTCTTTGCTCAAAACAGTAGTAGTTAAAACAGAAACCATTTCAAATCATACTTAATTTCTACCATTGATTAAAGGCAGAATGTAGGTCACCACTCTTACTGCTCTCTTTCACTGCCTTTGAGGGCAGTGCTGAGACAGTAGGAAAATACGTGAACTAGGAGATAGCGGAGTGGAGTGCCCTGGACGGCACTTGATGAACACTTTGATACCCATTTCACTGCCCTCTTCCCTGGACAACTGCATCTGCCATTTTGTCAGGATTCACAGATCTGAAAGTTACGAAGTTGGACCTAACATAAATTGTTCTGTAGAATTCAACGATAAACTAAGCTTAAAGAATCTTATTTGCCTATTTCTTTTCAATTTTTAAAGTAGCCTATCACATTTCTGCTATATTTAAATTGACGTTGTACCTTAATATCTCAATAGTAAACCGGTGAGAATTATTTAACCCTTTGGCTACTGCTTCTCTTCCATACAAAGAGAATTCCTTAAAATATTTTGGATTCTCTTGTATATACAAAGTGTGGATCATAAAATATTTGCTGTGTAGGGTCACAGTGGGGTGGTGGGTGCCCGCCCCCAGCTGTCCTTGCTTGCTCCACATACAAGGGGAACCAAAGAGCATTATGAACATTTAGGATGGCTCTGAATGTACAAGTGAACTGCTAAAGCTAAAGTAAAAACGAAATCATCAACAGCCACCAAAAAATAATGTTTAATTAAACTAACCTACACCATTGTGAGAAATGATAAAACACAGCAAACCCTTGTTGCAGTGATGAGACTTCAGTGTACGTGACCATAATGTCACAGGGCAACAGCCGAGAAATGGGCAGAGAATGTCTGGGTTTTCGACACCTTCCGCAAGTTAGGAGCCCTTTTCTCTGCCCAGAGTCCTTTGAAAAAACTGACACCCTAAGACTATCATGGATGCTTTCCTCATTCTCCGAATTTGCTTCACATGAGTAATGTTCACATTCTGTGTTTAAAGAGTGGTGAGTATGAATGAAATTTTGTGATGTCAGGCTGAGTCCTTGGGTCTGGAGAATCCAGTGCCACATGCATGCCTCCCCATGGTTGGTAGAGGAAGCCAGGCAAATGGGGCTCCAGTCCTTACTCTGCCATGCTGTTTTCTGTTGGTGAGGCCTGGGACAGTTTCTTCATCCTTATGTCTCAGTTTACTCTTATCAAAATGAGAATAGTATATGCTTCTCAGGGTATTCTGAGGGTTCGCTACATGAATACACTTGAAGTAGGTAGGACACTCAGTGTCTGGGATGCAGGAAAGGCCAGACAAACATTAGCTGTTGTGGCTGTTGTTGTTTTATATCAGTTGTCAAAAAGAATAGCTGGTCAGGAGAGGGAGGCAGCAGTGAGCTATGATCATGCCACTGCACTCTAGCCTGGGTGACAAAGCAAGATCCTTTCTTTAAAAAAAAAAAAAAATCTGAATGTGGGGGAGACAGGAACATTTGTCAACTCAGCAGATGTCAGGGGCTCTCTTCTGTCCCAGGGAATGAAGCCTGGAGCTGGCACATGCAGCAGAGCTGAGAGAGAGGATGGAGGCAGCCTGGCCAGGCTGTGCACAGACCTCAGGTCATTCCCCTTGAGGCCAAGCCGTGTGCCTCTACAATTTTCCCAGACACCCCAGCTCCCTTACAACAAAAACCTTTCTCCCCACTTCACAACAACAGAACATTCGAAGCAGCTGACCATTCCACTGTCTCTAAGAGGATAATTAGGATGGCCTCGTCACTTAGCCACAGGCACCACTGCTTGCCACAGGCAGGACTCCTGGAGTTTTTGTTCGAGTCTCGAACCTTGCTCCTTCTCTGCACTGAGACTAGCATTTGGGTGATGAGACGGCTTATGGAGGTAGGGCTGATGGAAAACGCAAATGCACACAGAGATCTGCTTTTGTGCAATAGCCTTGCAAGATGCTCCCCAGCTGAATTCCACTGGTGCTCCCTACAGTGTATTTTAAGGTTAAAAGCAGATGGGGCCTGATGGTGTCAAATGAGTTTTTAAGAGATTATGATCAGACTTCAGCTGGCGGAGCTACTGGAATTTTTCTACTGGAAAAATTAAAAAATCAGTCCTTAGGAGATTTGATGATTGATTCATATGTGGCAGTAGGAATTGAAGAGCAGGGACATTTTATTAACAGGTGTTCTCAGAAATCAAGGCAAACAGAAGTAGTGGCCAGGCACAGTGGCTCACAACTGTTATCCCAGCACTTTGGGAGGCCAAGTCGGGTGGATCACCTGAGGTCAGGAGTTTGAGACCAGCCTGGCCAACATAGTGAAACCCCATCCCTACTAAAAATACAAAAAATTAGCCAGGCATGGTGGCGGGTGCCTGTAGTCCCAGCTACTCGGGAGGCTGAGGCAGGAGAATGACTTGAACTTGGGAGATAGAGGTTGCAGTGAGCCAAGATCATAACACTGTACTCCAGCCTTGGGCGACAGAGTGAGACTCGGTCTCAAAAAAAAAGTGGTTTGTGTGCCTTGTATTAGCAAAATGCTTAGTATGGTTTGGGGACCCAAAACATAGAATGGGAAAATGTGGTAAAGCAGTAACATGGTGATGAGGGCAGGCTTTTTGTGACAGTGCTATAAGTTTTGTTTCATAAATTACAAATAGAGAGAAAACCTTCCCATGCCCAGTAAAGTTTGACTTGGAAGATTCAAAATACTATCTCAGACTTGTTAAAGGCTAAAGACTTTTAATTTTTAGAATAATGTATTTTTAACCTTTTAATCAAAGAAAAAAAATCAGAGCAAGTGGAAAGTAGCTATTTAATGATATTTCCTAAACCATGCCAGTTTGAGGAAATGTCTCATATACATGTGTATTTGTATACTGCATCGTTATTTATACCAACACATTTATTTTGCTATTCACTTGATGAGAAATACATTTAGATTGAACTTGGGCTTTAGCTTCAGTTTTTAAAAATGCAACAAAAGTATTCCCATACCCATTAATCTATGACCTAGTTGGATTCAAAAGGAAATTTCATAAGAGTACAAGTATTCTTAAGACTGAACCTGGACTCTGGGCCAAGCATAGCCAGCCTCCATGGACAGACTGTGTTTTCCTTCCTCTTAAAAGATGGTCTTAGAATAGGACGATTTCTATTATAGAAGCAGTGGCAATTTAAATTGCATTTCTAAATATAACGTGTTCAAGGCAGTGACTTTAAAAATTCACATCTGAAACCATATCACTTTAATCCTTCCTTTTTACACTCAAGGCAGTTCATGAATTGCAAAAGACATTTTTCCCAATTCATTTTCATTGTTTTTTTCCCCCTGAATCTTATAAATTGTGCATTGATTTATGAGATGTAAATTTTTTGTTGGCTTTTGCCCTGAAAAGTTGATGTTGTATCTTTTCCTTAATTTTTCTCTCAATTCAAGAAGAATAAAAAATAATTCTACTTTGCCTCATAACAATAGGCATAGGGATAAGATCAGGTCTGCTAAATATTTGGTATCCCTCACAGGAAAATGCTGTGTACATAGTATAAATAACACTTTTTTTAAGCTGAATGATTCCACTGTGCACACTAAGACATTTTATGTAATCTCTGCAGGTATAACTTCATACCCATATTGTCTTGCTTTCTAAGAGACTGGGAAATTAAAGCCCACAAATTATAATTCTATTTCTTATTAATAGTGGCACCCAAGTGTAGAGCAAACAGTGGTTTAAATTAGTTTTGCACTTGGAATGAACAAGATGAATGGAAGTTTCACTGTTGGGGAAAGCATTGAATTAGATCTAGATTTTATCTCAGGATGGTAATTAAATTTTCAGGTAAATCTTGTTGAGAATGATAGGCATAACATTTTTTTTTTGATAGTCTCATTCTGGTTTGACAGAATAAGAATCAGACTTTTTTTTTCTTTTCTTTTTTTCCTGTTTTTTTTTTTTTTTTTTTTTTTTTGTATATGAATTGTGGTGTTTGGGGGAAAATGTGTTATATGTATAAGTTATATGATATAGTGTAAATTATTGACTATGAGGCTTTTTTCATTTAATCAAAATAAGAGGTACCATTCAGAAATTGTGTTTGTTTTCTAGGGACACAACCAAATCATAACATATAGCAGACCAATCTATTTTTGTGTGCTGTGTGGCCTTATTTTGCTTCTTGATACAGGGGCCAAAGCCAGGCACCCTCCCAGTTACGTTGTGTATGGCCTGAAGCTCTTCTCTCCAGTGTTTCTACAATCAGCTAGGGACTACTTAATAGGTGAGTTAATTATGGGGTTGTGGGGAAGAATATGGGGGTTGGGGGTATGTCTCCCCTTTGTCTTCTGAATTTCTAAGCTTCCTTACTTGATTATTGGGTGAAGAGATGTGCACTTTCCTCTTGGCTTGCATATCTACCGAAGACTGTCTGGGAGCCCAAGCCTCAAAGCATCCAACTATGGAATTATTTTTAAAGGATTTTGATATTTATGACCAAGAAGTTGCAGCACTATAATGTCCATTATAATAATGCCCATCCGGGCTGGGCACGGTGGCTCACACCTGTAATCCTAGCACTTCGGGAGGCCGAGGCCGGTGGGTCACCTGAGGTCAGGATTTCAAGACCAGCCTGGCCAACATGGTGAAACCCCGTCTCTACTAAAAAGATACAAAAAATTAGCCAGGCATGTTGGCGCATGCCTGTAATTGCAGCTACTCGGGAGGCTGAGGGAGGAGAATTGCTTGAACCCGGGAGGCAGAGGTTGCGGTGAGCCAAGATCACGCCATTGCTCTCCAGCTTGGGCAACAAGAGTGAAACTCTTTCTCAAAAAAAAAAAAAATAAATGCTCATCTGAAGAATGGTTGTTACGGTGCCTGCTGGGGATGGTTTTGCCATCAGGGTAGCAGCATGAATGGGCACGGTTCTCAGTCCAGGAGGAGTCCTGAATACTCAGATCACCCAGTCTTCCACCAATCCCTTTGCTTGACTTAAGGTTTAGGCAGTATTTTATATAAAACGCTCTGTTTAAACAAGTCACCTGCATACTGTATGGTTTTGAGCCCTGACTCTGGAGCCAAACTGCTGATGGTTTGAATCCCAGCTTTGCCACTTCACTAGGTATATGACTTTGAGCAAAACTTAACTGTGATATAAAGGCAAAAATATTGGCCACCTCAGAAATTACTGAAAATTTTAAATGAGTTGGTATACTTAGACATAGAGAGCAGTGCTGGGCACCAAGCATCAGCTGTTGTTGTCCCTTTTATGCAAAGTGATTGCTCCGGTATTGACCCGACGGCATATGCTCTGAGAATTCTTGCAGAGACATCCAGGGGTTTGCACACCTGCCAACTTGTTATTGTCTGTGATCACATTGACCAGCTGAGTTGATAAAGGGCAGCTTCTACCAACATCACTAGCTGGATCTCTCGCTTGCCAGCTGGAAATCTTACTCAAGAGACTGTCAAAGCCTTTGGTCCCACATCATCCTTTCCCAACTTCTGTGACAGCCCCCTTGAATCTCTCTAGTGGAACTAGGGAGAGTGCCCAGGTATGGTGTAAGCTTTGTTTGTGCTCCTTATAGGTGAAAACCCTGGTAGGCATTCTACCCTCTGGCTTCCCGTTCCTCTTCCTGCTGCTTTGATAGTGAACTCTTCATTCTTACTCCCCCAGTGCCCAACCCACCACAAGCCCACCTTTCTATGCATCCTCAACACATCTTTTCCTGTTACATCATTTGAGAAGCAGAGTAACTTCTTCTTCTTCTTCTTCTTCTTCTTTTTTTTTTTTGTTGGAGTCTCGCTCTGTCTCCCAAGCTGGAGTACAGTGATTCAATCTTGGCTCACAGCAACCTCCACCTCCTGGATTCAAGCGATTCTCCAGCCTCAGCCTCCCAAGTAGCTGGGATTACAGGCATGTGCCACCATGCCCGGCTAATTTTTGTATTTTTAGTAGAGACGGGGTTTCACCATATTGGCCAGGCTGGTCTGACCTCAAGTGATCCGCCCACCTCAGCCTCCCAAAGTGCTGGGATTACAGGCGTGAGCCACCGTGCCTGGCCAGAATAGCTTCTTAATGCCAAAGGATTACGCACCATGCTTCAGAGAACCTCTGAGCTCAATTAGGAAACAGAAACATGTTGGAAAAAAAATAAGAACAGATCCATAATTTGATCTCCCAGTCAGTGCCCTCCTGCCCAAGAATATTTGCTTCTATCCTTCCTGATATTTTTTACTTTACTTTTTTTTCAGTCCTATCAGTTGGAACAAACACATACACAACAAGAAAGGCCTTCTGTCATTCTTATATTTTATAACTTAGTGCGCCCATATTCCTCACTAAGTCGGCTGCAGTGAAAAAATCAGAGTTTGAGTAGACAGAGATGCTCACTCATGATGGCACACTTTGCAGGGCCATCCTTTCCTGCCATCTTCTTTTTGCAAACAGCAGTGTTGGAGTCCACAGCTCAAGGGCACATGAGGACCTGGAGATTAGAGAAGGAGAAAGCATAAAATAATTTTGGAAGATGTCCAAGAAACGATTGTCTATGTCAAAATGCTGCCTTTTCTCTCTCTGCACTCCACACTCCCTCTTGGGTACCCCCAGCCATCTTTTCCTGGGATCTTGAATGTGGGTTAGTGTTGATAGAGTGCCACCTCTTACAGGTCCCAGGGATCTGTGGCTTGAGCTGGAGCCGTAATTACTGTGGCCCCTTCTCATCCCTTTCTCATCCCCTTCTCACACATTGTGTTCCTTCCACTTGGAAGCTGTTCTGCGGCCTCCCCCGTCCTTCATTATGCTGGCTCATAACACCTCATTTCCCTAAGTTTGGCCCCATTGTCTATCCTCTCACTACCCACACTTTCATAGTCCTTAGCCCATTTTGTAGCAATCTGCTCACACTTGTAATATCAAAATAATGCCTGTCCCTCTCACTAGCTTATTCGCTCAGAAAAGGCAAAGCAGAGACCCTGCATGCTTTCTTACCACTCAATCCTTAGCAGTGTCTGGCATTTAGAGGCACTAAATAAACATTTGTTGAAAGGATGAACCAATGAACATTAAAGTCCGTGTTTTTTGTTTTGTTTTGTTTTTTTTTTTTTTTGAGATGGGATCTATCTCTGTTGCTCAGTAGAGTGCAGAGGCACGATCTAGGTTCACTGCAACCTCTGCCTCCTGGGTTCAAGCGATTCTTCCTGCCTCAGCCTCCCAAGTAGCTGGGATTATAGGTGCGTGCCATCATACCTAGCTAATTTTTGTATTTTTTAGTAGATACGGGGTTTCACCATGTTGGCCAGGCTAGTTTCGAACTCCTGACCTCAGGTGATCCACCCGCCTTGGCCTCTCAAAGTGCTGGGATTATAGGCATGAGCCACCATGCCCGGCCAAAAGTCTGCTTTAAGTACTAAAGATATTTATGTACAAATAACTTTTGGAATACTTCCCATTCATAAGTCAGATAAGGCTATAGTCCATTTGGACCGTTTAACTCAGCCCTTAGAATAAGTAGGGACTTAAAAAGTGCCTTTTGCCAATAATCTGTAGAAAGAGGTTTGGGGCATGAAGAGCATGATGTGTCTTCCATTTACAAATTGCTTTTCTGTACATGGGTATCTCCCTCATTCCTGGTTTTTAAAATTTTTATTTGCTACTGTAAAAAAGTCAACTTTGGAATAAGTGTAGTTGTCTTGGTGTGGCAAACTTACAATGGCATTGGGATGTGAGGTGTTATTAAAGCTCAAAAAATAAGACCTTAATGTCTTAAATAATTGTTAAAAGCCTAAGATTTTACTTTTAGCAGTAACCCTTGTTCTAGAATATCCTACTAGCTATGCATATTCTTATTTTATTTTATTTTTAAATCAATTTCATTAGGGATTGGAGAGGGAACATTCTTTTCCACTGGAATTCCCTTTCTCTCATTAAAGCTTCTGCCTAATACATATTTTTGTTTGCTTATCAACAGTGACAAGTAAAAATGGCGATAAATAATCCAGCAAGCCGATTAAATAACTTCTGGGGTAAAGATAAATAGAAAAATAGAACAATAGCAATCCCTATGGAATGAATGTGTTAAACATACTAATTTGCACTGAGCAGGAAAAGGTTGTGAAACAAATTTAGAACAAATGGGAGAGAAAGGAAAGAGATAGTGGCTTACACTACTTTTCTGACTTTACGTGGGAACACAAGGGCTACTTAAAGTCATTTCTTCCTTGTGGAACTTATTCACTGTCTATTCCCTCAACTAGCAAGGGATGTAAGTAGTCTAAAGCTGCTGCCATTGCTATATGGAGGAACTAGCAAGGAGAGAAGAAAAACATTGGGAGAAAACAAAAGGTTATTAGGAGGAAAAAGAAGTGTACAGCTCTAGGAAGCGTAATACTTCCTAGAGCCGCTGTAACAAAGTACTCCCCACTGGGTGGCTTAGAACAACAGAAGATTATTGTCTTGCAGTTCTGGAGGCCAGAAGTCCAGACTCAAGGTGTTGTCCTCTGAAAGCATTAAAGAAGGACCTGTTCCAGGCCGTTCTCCTTGGCTTGTAGGCGGCATTCTTCTCCTGTATATTTACATGGTGTCCCCTCTGTGCATGTGTGCCTCTGTGTCCAAATTTCTCCTTTTCATAAGGACACCAGTCATATTGAATTAGGGTCCAGATGGACCCTAAGGGCCTCAGCTTAACTCAATAATCTGCAAAGACCCTATTTCCAAACAAGGTCACATTTAGAGTTACTGGGAGTTAGAACTTCAACATCTTTTGTGGGAACATAATTCAACCTATAACGAGGAGCGTTTAAGAAAAAGGACAAGGGAGAAGAATTAGGTCCATGTGACATTTTTTCCCGTCGATTTATTGTGCTTCTCATGCTGTGTTGGGTACAAGTGGTCCTCCTCTGGCAGGTGCTAGGGAGCATGGAGTATTTCCTAGAGCAGTGTCTTGTTGGTGATGTATGGGTTACCCACTGCCACTCCTGGTTCCTGCAATTAAACCATCACCCTGTCAGAGCAGGAGGAGGTGGCAGAGGAGAGGGACAGTCAAGGAGCGAGGCCAGTCCAGTATCAGCATCTCCTTCTGCCTCCTTGTGCAGAAGAGATCAAATGCCTGAGCCAGTGGTATGAGATAAGTCAGGTGGACATGGCGCAGGTGGGAAGGATGGAGAAACTCCTTGTCATGTATAATGCAAGGAGAGAAACATCTCAAAGGAAGAAGGAAACATCAGATGATTGAAGGAGGAGAAATTCAGATGAATAAGGAGGTAGAAGCACAGAATAATATTCCTATGTAATTTCTTTTTCTTTTATGATCCCTCATATATGTTCAGAATATTACTCGGTGCACTTTTCCTTTCATTATAAGAAAAAATATTCTTTATTTTTATCCCCAGGAATAAGGTGAAAGTTATTAGTCCGCACTCATTTCCTGTGCTCAGTCTGAGACTGGTGACCTCTGGCTGGAATTTACATTACTTTCCTTGAGCAAAAACCTCTGAGTGAGACTGGCTTTGAAATTATCCTGTGGGTGAGAAAGCCAAAAGGTGTCTGATTCTTAGTACCATATTTCAAAAGGAGCAGTAACAAAACTAGAGCATGCCCAGAGGAGTGTGTAGCCACATGGCCTGTATGGGGTCTGGAAACTGGGTAATGGAACTGGGAATGTCCAACCCAGGGAAGAAACACTTGAGTGCTAGTACACACAATAGCTTCAGATCCTTAAAATGCTGCCAGGTTGAAGGGGAGGGATTTTATTCTCTTTTGTAGCCATAATAACTAGTTCCAGCAGATAGAAGATGGGTTACAGCTCAGTACAAAGAAGCCAGTAAAACGGTTTGGGTTAGAGCTGCCCTACCGTAGAATAGGTTGCTTAGTGAAATGAGTTCTCTGGCATGGAAAAACTTCAGGCACGATGAAATGTCCATCAGCTGTAGCCGGGTCCAAGCACTGGATGGGTTGTTTATCAAATGGCCTCTGCTCTGTGTTTTTTTGTTTTTGCTTTTTTCAGACCTGGGAGTTTTATGTTTTATTTTTGGTCCTTAGGTTTATAAATCCCTGCCAAAAATAATGCATCTTCAATAACGGAGACTGTAACTTTGGAGATAAGTGGAGGTTTTAGAACAAATCACTGGATTGTACTCACCTTTCCCTAAACACCCAGACGTCCCATTCCTATGTCTTGTTTAAAGGCTCATTTCTTGGCCTCAGTCCATATGAGGACATTTAGTTAATACACAGATAGGGCACATTGAAGACACACAATATATACATTCACATTGACTTCATAGGCTTTAGTTTTATTTCTGTGCCATTTTAATTCTGACTGCTTGCCCCTCAAACCTGCAAATATGGTAATTTATATCACTCACATTTGATAAAAGAAATAAGCTTAAGCTACTATATTTTTATTTATGAATTTTGCTTAAAAAGAAATGGAACTGTGCCAGAAGTTTCTGCATTGACTATAATTATTAAGGAAAATAAGAAGTTAGGAAGAAGTGAGAGGAAATTATAGGCCCACTCAGTGGTATGCTAACAGAAAATGTTTGTTCACAGGGAAAATTATGAACAGCCACAAAGACTTTTTTACTTCTGAAAAAAAAAAGGACAAAATAATTTCAGCAATTTCAAGTGTCATTTTCCTGAAGTCCTGGTAACATAACAAGCATTTGGCTGCTTTTTCCTTCACGTTCACTGCAACCTGACAGATGAGACACATGGACTCCCTCTTCCTCCCATTCCACCTCCACGACATTTATTTTAAAGACTAGAGCTTTCCTCCTCCAGGATGTTTTGGAGAGGATCTAGTGCATGGACCTCCTTGTTGACTGCTGTTCTTCCTGTATTGTTTCATTAAGTTCCAATTCTACACCCACAGCCAGAGCATCTCCAGGGATGACTTTCTGGTATTTCTTACCATTTTATCTTCCTCATGCCATTTTTCATTGTGTTCCAATTCTTTCCATTTCTTTGGGTTTTGTTGCACTGGCTAATGTATTTCTTATACAGAATATCTCTTTATCCTTGATTTACCAAATAGCTCCCAATATCTGGCTTTGCCTTTCATATCATTCCATACCTAGACTTTTCCCTGTGGTTCTTCATTCTCAGAGTAGTTTTTGTCACATACACATACAGCATTTGGAAAGGCAATTAATAAATCTCATTGGACCTTCCCTCTGCCCTGATCCGGAATTGGCAGATATAGCATAGCACAAAATTGTTATTGCTGGGTTTTGACCCCAAAGTAAAGAGAAGCTCTTCTCAGTTTGTTTGAAATTTTATGGAATTTTGTGGATTAAAATTTCTATGCTCATGACTATATGTTCTGTAATTAAATTTCTATTTATTTCTTGTATCTCTCCTTTCTATTGATAGAAACTGAAAAAGAAATGATGTCTTATATAGTTACGTATAGCATATCAGTATTTGTGCCTTTTTGTCTGCTTTGGTTGAGAAATAAACTGCTTTCAGATGCTCTACTTTTTTACAATATAGTTGAAATCTTGGCACAAAAATTATCACAACAAAATCACCACCTGTATCAAAACATGGCTCCAACACCAACCACAGCCCCTATTATTATAGATAGCCATGTTCATGACATAAAATTTTACTTTCACAAAGACTTGGAACAGTTCCTCAGTACTTTGTTCCATAGTGAATTTTAACCAACTTTTTTTTTTTTTTTTTTTTAATACTTTAAGTTCTGGGATCCATGTGCAGAACATGCAGGTTCATTACATAGGTATACCAACTTTTTTTTTTTTTTTTTTTTTTTGAGACGGAGTCTTGCTCTGTCGCCCAGGCTGGAGTGCAGTGGTGCAATCTCGGCTCACTGCAAGCTCCGCCTCCCGGGTTCACGCCATTCTCCTGCCTCAGCCTCCCGAGTAGCTGGGACTACAGGCGCCCGCCACCACGCCCAGCTAATTTTTGTATTTTTTTTTAGTAAAGGTGGGGTTTCGCCATGTTGGCCAGGCTGGTCTCAAACTCCTGACCTCAGGTGATCCGCCCACCTCGGCCTCCCAAAGTGCTGGAATTACAGGTGTGAGCCACCGTGCCTGTCCTGTCCTGTGTTTTTTTTATGTTCCTGTAGTTTTCCCAGTTTCCTTTCTCTTGCCCTCATCTCCCCCATGTCCAAGTCTACTCTTTCAAACTGAAGATGATTCTACTCTGACTCACCACCCCTGAAGTCTTTGCTCAGTCCTGGCCTTGTGTGCGTTCCTTTCATCAGTACTTCTTTCTCAGGATCAGCTCCTTGTATCCACAGACACATTTCCGTCTCAGCCTCCAGTTTCCTCCGGGTGAGAGGAGTCTAAGATTGCTTCCATGGAGGTTGCAGTGAGCCGAGATCGCGCCACTGCACTCCAGCCTGGGCGACAGAGCGAGACTCCATCTCAAAAAAAAAAAAAAAAAAAAAAAAGATTGCCTCCAGTATTCCTGGGTGGGGTGGTTTGGAAGGGGAGAGAGACAGCACTGCAGCAGGAGCCTTGGCAACACAGTTCCCCATGCTTATCGTCAATTTTGTTTGTTCATTTTCAGTATTTTTATATTGCTTCCCTGCTATTTCCCTCCTTGGGCTCTTCCCGCAAATCAACACTTTCTGCACTTATCTTTTGGAGCAAATTGACATGCTGTTTTTTGGTGGTTCTGGTAAGTCGTTTACATTCTATTCTTCCTGTAAAGGAATTCAGAGTTCAGATAAGGACTAAATAGCCTTAGGCAGGAGATGAGAGGCTAGTTAGGTTTTCTTTGTCCTGAGCATTTAAATGACTTCAGTTTGGATCAGTCTGGGTGATGATGGGCCTGTCCAGATTTCCTGTAGCCAAATTGGAAGAGGTCCACTTAGCTTGGTTGAGCGTAAGCACAGAGACAAGGAAGGGTAGAATTCTCTGTGATTTGGAATAGGTTTGAGGCCCTTCAAACTATTCCCTAAAAAAACACTCCGTGTGTGAATGTGTGTGAGCATGTGTGAGTGGATATAAGTGTGTGTGTGTGTGTGTGTGTGTGTATTTGAGCACACACATGCTCAAGTCTGGGAGTGCATCAATGTGGTGAGCCTGTGGGTTGACACTGTGCTGTGTATTGTGTGTGTACCTATAGAGACAGGTGATCTGTGTCCCTAAACCATCACTGTGACCCTTTTAATGTCATACTTTAGATTCAGACCAAGGTGGATATAATCTCACGACGTGACATAAATTGCTTAACTTTTCAGCCTACTCTTCTCTTCTCTAAATGGAAATAAACATCATAACCTCATAGGGTTGCTATAAAGAGTAAATGAAATCATGTGCATAATGCAATCACTGTTACCACCCCCATAACACATACACGTACACACACACACACACATACACTACATAGGGACACTTGCTTATTCCCTTTCCCGTCTCCTCTCTCCTCCTGCCTTCTCCCTCCTTCTCCTTCCCATTTATTCTATTGAATTGCTATCTAGGACCTTTTCCTTGACCACCAGCTTTCAACTGTAAGCCATGAGGTCTCCCTACCTTCATTCTGACACATTCACATGGTCTTTTAAGAACATTGTAAAGCATTCTTTCTGAGTACTTTCCTCTTGAATTTTTAGTTAATGGTAGTCTCTTTCTTGCACCTGTGAGTCACCCAGTGCCTTTTGATGGATCCCATAGATGTATTATTTACCCCTTCAGCAGGCATCTTGTATGCGAATGTGCAACCATCTCTTCACTGTTTTACATTTGTTGATTTTAAGAATGGCGGGTCTAGAAAAGAACTGTTGATGTTTGTGTTCCAGCTGTGTCTGGGATAACCTCGGCTGTTTACAGTGTGGCCCGGAGCGTCTTGGCTGCCGCCCTGCTCCACGCAGTCTGCTTCAGTGCAGTGAAGGTAGGTGTGAGGACCATGGGCCCTCATCCTTCTCGATTCATTAAATTAACTTATTTTTTTAAACAAATGAATGTTTTTTCCAAAATTACAAGAGAAATCGGATCTGTGCAAATCAGGGAGTGACTGTGTGGCTGAGTGAGGCCTCAGTAGTGTTAGAAGACAGGTCAGGATGCCTGGTTGGCCCTAATGTGAAAGGCCCCCCACCTCCTGGCCTGGCCTCCCCTCTGCAGATGTCTCTCTGCTAAGATCGGTTAGTGACAGTGGGAGGGGCTGCTGCTTAACATGTTGGTCAATGGAACCCATGTGTCTGCCTTCACTTCCTGAAATACCACTCAAAAGACAATAAAGGAATACAATTGCTTAAAGCTAGATAGACAAGAGGACAGAAGAGGATATGACAGCCACAAAATGTTAGAATCTAGAAAACAGAGGGACTATAGACTTACCCAGAAGGGGAAAATGCAAACCTAACCTGGCAGCAAGGGAAGCCTAAGATGATGAGAAAACAAGATAAACACGAACTTCAGAAAACACAAAGTTGTGTCAGGCAAGAAACGTATCTATTGTAGGTACCTGGCTCAGCTGTGAACCATATTTATATAGTAATCTGAGTAATCATCATGTTATATCGCTAATAGAAGAATGGGGGAGGTGAAGTGTGATGGAGGAGTTCCAAATCCTGTCTTCCATATTAGAAAATCAGCAAATAACATCTAAAATTGAAAATAAAAATCAAGAAATAGCACAGCAAGTATTTTATTTGAAAATATGGAAGTAAATATGGAGAAGAAATAGCTGAGTCATTGCCTTCAGGAAGCAGGAATTAGGGCAGGGGTTTGTGTAGGTGGGGAGACCACTACTGTTTGTTTTCAGTGTTGTAGAGCTGTAGAGTGGCCATTAAGTCTAAATATAACAGTATACATAATGTCCTCAGGGGCATCTTCAGTCAGTAACAAATAAATTAATATTATACATATTTCTGGACTTACGGTTTAACAGTTTAAACCACAGGTACTCCTTTGATAAAACAAAAATTAAATGTAAAAGAGTAAATAAAAATAATATATGTTCCAAAGTGTTTTTAATATAAATCACGTAACATTTCTTAACTCACTTTTTAAAAAGATTAACTTAAATCATATTAAACTGATCAATGTCAGTGGCAGAAAGATAATTGTTTATTTCCCTTTGTGAAAGAGAATGAATTCAACATTTTTCTCTCTCAATATTTCACAGTAATCCATGGAGTAATTATTGATTACTCCATTACTTCTATTCCTATCATATAGATATTTTCTTTCAGAAAAAAAGGGGAGGGGCCTGGGAGGAAGGTTTCTGTATCTAATATACAAAGGTAATTTATGTGCTTGTAGTGGCCCGTTTGTTACCACATTTATCCTGTCATGTAGACCAACAATTATCTAAACAGTGTTTCCGGTGTTCTTTCTTTTGACTTATGTTCCTTTATTTAATCATAGGATCCCAGGTATACTTCATTTAGGAAAAGTACTTGGATGAGTATTTTCTGAGTCCTTGTACTTCTGAGAACATCTTTCCACTGTCTTTTGGTAAAATGGCTGCCTATACAACTCTGGGGTCACAGGTGTTTTTCTGCAGGCACCTTAGTATATTGCTCTGTTGTGTTCTGGAATTATTTGTTTGCTTGTTCATTAATTTTTAAAAGTCAGGTTTAAAGTTCAGCTTTTGAAAATGTCCAGTTTGGTTAGTTTTAATAAATAAATAAATAATCCTACAATCAAGTTATGAGAGCATTTTCACCAACTCAAAAAATGTTCTTGAATTCCTTGTAGTCAGTCTCTTCCCCTATCTCCAGCCTCTGGCCACCATTCATCAGATTTCTGTCTTTGAAGCTTCTTTGGAATCAAATCTGTCAGGGCATGATGTATATACAATAAAATCCACTAATTTCAAGTGTACAGTTAGATGTATTTTGACAACTGTGTGTAGACAAGTTACCACCATCACAATCATGACACAAACTGTTCCCCCATCCAGAAGTATGTTTTCATGTTCACTTGCAGTCAGTCCCCTCTCCACACAATGTTTTTATTTATCCTAAGTGAATACCTGAGTGAGATTGCTAGATCACATGGTAAGTTTTTATTTAACTTTATAAGAAATTGCCAAACTGTTGTCCAGTTTCTATACCATTTTTCTTTTCCCTACCCTCACATAATCTTTGATTTCCAAGTGTTCTAGGTTCTTGCTGACAGTTAGTACTGTCAGGTTTTTCTTAAATCCATTCTCGTGTGAACCAGTATCTGATTGTGGTTTTAATTTGCATTTCTCCAATAATGAATAGTGTTGAACATCTTTCTGTATGTTTCACATTTGTATAACTTCATTGATGAAAAATTTGCTTGTCTTTTGTCCATTTAAAAATTATATGTATGCCATATTATTGAGACATAAGAGTTCTTTACATAATCTAGATACAAGTCCTTTAACAGATATATGCTACACACATTTTTTTTTTCAGGCTGTGGCTTGTCTTCTCATTTTTTTAACAGTATATTTTGAAAAGCAGAAGTTTTTAGTTACAATGAAGTCCAATTTATCTAATATTTATTTTATGGGTTTTTTTTATGTCTTACCTAGAAAACATTTACTTAACCCTAAGTCACAAATATTTTTGTACTACAAGTTTTATAGTTGTATTATATTTAGATTTGATTTGAATATACTTATATTTAGATTTGAAATCTCTTTTGAGATGATTTTTGTGTATGACATGAGGTGAAGGTTGAGATTTACTAGTACCATTTGTTGAAAACACTAACCTTTCTCCGTTGAATTATCATGGAACGTTTAGAACCAAAAATTAATCATTTCATTGTTCTGCATGCCTTTCTTTATGTTAGTATTACATTGTTTTTATTACTGCAGCTATATAATATGCTTTGAAATCAGATAGTGTGTCTCCCAATTTTATTCTTCTTTTTCAAAATTGTTTTTGCTATTAAAGGTCATATTTCTTCAAAAGTAAGTTTTACACTGTGTTTGACAATTCCTACCAAAATTTGCAAAAATTTTCGTTGGGATTATGATGAATTTGTAGATCAATTTGGGGAGAACTGACATCTTAACTGTAACTTTTTGATCCATGAACATGGTATATTGTTCCATATACCACAGTCTTTGTTACTTCGTTCTCAGGTCAGGAGTATTTTGTATCTTTCAACCTGAAACTATTGCACCTTTTTGTGCATTATATGTTATTTTAAATGGCATTGTGTTTTATAATTTAAATTTTCAATTGTTAAGTAATACTAAATACAATTTATTTTGTAATATTTCAGCCTTTATCTTGCAAGCTTGCTAAACAAATGTATTAGTTCTGGTAGTATTTTAGTAATTTCTTTAAGATTGTCTACCATAGATTGTCATGTCTATCAATAAACACAATTTTATTTTCCTTTCCAGCCTGTATGCCTTTGATTTCTTTTTCTTGCTTTATTGCAGTGGCTAGGACCTCCAGAGCAATGTTGACAAAGTGCTGAAATCAGACATCTTTGCCTTGCTCCCAAGTTTAGGGGAAAAGTCTTTCACCATTAAGTATGAAGTTAGCTATGGAAATTTTCCAGATGCCCTTTATTGGGCTGAGTCATTTCCCTTAGATTTCTAATTTGCTGAGAGTTATCATCATAAATGATGTTAAATTTTGTCACTTTTTTTCTGCATCTATTGAGAAGACCATATTGATTTTTTTTAAAGCAATTGTTAGGAAGAATTACATAAATTGTTCAGTGTAGAACCAACATTCCATTTAAAGGATGGGCCCCATTTGGTCATGCCATATTGCCTTTTTAAATATATTGCTCAATATTATTTACCAATATTTTGTTGAGAAATTTGATGTCTATGAAGTTTCTAGTTCTCTAATTTTTTTTTTTTTTTTTTTGAGATGGAATCTCACTCTGTTACCCAGGCTGGAGTGCGGCAGCGTGATCTTGGCTCACTGCAAGCTCCACCTCCTGGGTTCACGCCATTCTCCTGCCTCAGCCTCCCCAGTAGCTGGGACTACAGGAGCCCACCACCACGCCCAGTTAATTTTTTGTATTTTTTAGTAGAGATGGGGTTTCACCATGTTAGCTAGGATGATCTCAATCTCCTGACCTCGTGATCCGCCTGCCTCGGCCTCCCAAAGTGCTGGGATTGCAGGTGTGAGCCACCGCCCCCAGCCTAACTTTTCTTTTCTTGTAATGCTTTGTCTTGTTTTGACATTATGTAATGGCTTGATAAAATGAGTTGGAAAGTGTTTCCTTTTATATTATAAAAGAGCTCACATAAAATAGCTTATGTTCTTACTGAACTTTTTTATATAGTAATATTTGGTTTTATTGATCTCTTAGATGAGATGTATTCTTTTATACTCTAAGTGGTCAATTATCTCATAAAGATATTTAAAAATCTTTAAAATTATATTTCCTTTACGTTATTTTAAAAAATAATTTCTGCAATGTACATTTCTTTGTGTAGATTCATCTTTCTGCTTGCCATCATATTTCTCCTGTCTGAAGAACTTTCTTTAGGAAATCTCATGGTGCAGGTCTGCTAGTCATAAACTTTCAGCCTTTGTCTGAAACACATCTCATTTTGCCTTCACTTTTGAAGGATATCTTCACTGGTACAGAATTCTGCTTAAAAGCTTTTTTCCCCTGGTACTTTCAACATGTTCTGTTTTCTTTTGTCTTGTATAATTTCTGATAAAAAAATCTGCCGTTATTCCAATATTTGTTTCTCTGTTAGTAACGTTTCTTTTTTCTCTGACTGCCTTTAAGATTTTCTCTGTCTTTGTTTTCAGCCATTTGACAATGCTGTGACTAAGTGTATGGCGTTTTTTTTTTTTATTTTACTTAGGATTCTCTGAACTGTTTGATTTGTGAGTTGTTTTGGAAAATCTTTAGCCATTCTCATTTCAAATATGTCTTCTGCCTTGTTCTGTTTTTCTTTTCTTCTTGGGCCTCCAATTATATACATGTTAGATCATTTAATATTGCCCCACATCATTTGTATGCTATAGTCTTTTTTTCCACTCTTTTTTCCTTCTTTGGGTTTTAGTTTTAATAATTTTACTGACCTATCTTGAAGTTCACCAGTTCTTTCTCCTGCTGTGTCTAGTCCGATGATAAACTCACGAAAGAACCAACATTTCTATTTGATGTCTGTAGATAGTTTTCATTTTTCTTTCGAAATTACCCATCTGCACATGAATGATGTCCATTTCTGTCACTAGATTCTTCAACATATTAATCATAGTCATTTTAAAGTTGAGATTTTTGTAAATTATCTGGCTTTTTCTTGTTGTCAGGCTGTGAGCAGGACACTTGTGGATTTCTACATCTGAATTGGCATCACTTGTCAGTGTTTAGTTTTGAAGATAAAAACAATAGGGCTAAAATTTCTTTGTTGAATTTTTGTAGAATTCTTTCCTACAGTCTGAAGTTTAAAAGAAGTTAGTGGACTATGATTAGGCGTGGTTCTCTTAAGTTTTCTGGAGCACCATGCCCATTTTCACTTTTCATATTGAAAACTTTATCTAGAGGAAAAGTTTCCCTGTTATGTTTTGATTAATGACATTGTTGATTCTGTTCACATAATATGATTTAATTTTTCACAGACTTTAACTTTTGGCTGTCTTTCATGTCTCTCATTTCTTTTTCATCATTTTCCTCTCCTTATAGTTTTCCTTTGAGTTCTGGTACAGTTCTAGAGTTTCTCATTTCAAGAATGAAGAAATCAACAAATATTTATTGAGAAGTTATTGTGTACTAGGAATTATACTAGTTTATATATATACTAGTTATAAAATATAATTTATAAAATATAAATTATGTAAAATAATTTGATAAATTATAATAATATATAAATTTTATATATTATTGAAATATATTAAAATAATATATAATTATATATAATATATAAGTCTAAATAATAAATGCAAATTAAAATGTATTTATTGTTACAGTAAGAACTCTTAACATGAAATCTATCCTTTTAACTTTTTGTGTGCAATTCAGTATTGTTATCTGCAGGCATAATGTTATACAGCAGATCTCTAGAATTCTTTTGCACTATTATATATATTTTATATAATTTACTTCACATAGCATAACTGAGACAAGTACTATTATCCTAATTTTACAGTTATAAATTTTATTTTCTGCATTGTTTGCTGTTTGGTCTACTGATAAATTGCAGTTTGAAATTTGGCATTCATATTATTCGACCTTCATAATTGCTTGCTTAGCTTTAAAGTTGAGACTTTAAATCAGATATTTTCTAAAAATTTCTTTTTTTTTGATGTAAATGTGCTTTAGAAAGCTTCTGTAAGTGGTCCCTTTAGAGAAATATCTCATTTTAAGAATGCTTTTTGTTTGTCATGTGCTGTTTTTCCTCATTTCGCAGTGAGAATATGTCTTTGATAACCTAGCATCGTCTCTGTTCAGTTCATAGACCTGTTTTGTGTTTGGCCTGTAGAATGTTTAAAATTTTTTTCGAGCCAAGATTTAATATTAGGACAGTCAGTGTAAAAATATGATTCTCCTACTTCTCTTAAACAATGTGAAGATCCGGCAACACTGGGCTGACCTTCCCATTTGGTAACAACCTGCTGACACTGAATAGTAACTCACAGCTACCGCAAACTCACAGGTCTCATCATGTCCTATCATTTTTTATGCCTGAGCCACATAATGTATATATGTCACTTGGCTGCCCACATTGATGTTAGATTTTATGACTTTTGTCTTATAGTCAAGAAAGAATTGAACTGGTTTCTGTTAGGGAATTGTAAGACTCCTTGGTCAGATCTTTTCAGAGGTACCTCATGTCTGAAACACAGGAAGAGAGGAAAATGAAACAAAACATGTTTCAGTAATACACTACTAGTTCAGAGATGATTTTTCCCAGGGAAAATGTCTTATTGATGGAGTTTGGGGTAGTTATATCAGGAAGCTCATCACAGGCAGTAGATATGAAGAAATGCCTGGGACAGTGGTTATCTCTGTTTTACCCTCTTGGCTCTAACTTCTACATCCATGACCTGAATGAATAAATGCTGCCGCCTCTACGACAGCAGGAGTTGCTGCAGACTGCCCATCCACAGACGTGCAAGGCCAAGTGGTAAAATGTCTGCTAACCCCTTGGTCTATACTCACTTCCAGCCCTTCTGCCTCTCATTTAGGTGATGTTAGCAGAGGTCTTTTCCTGTTTACTTCCTCAGTGCACTACTGTCTTTCAAATGGAGAGAGGAGTTGGAGTCAGCCTTACAATCTTCTTTCAGTCTAGACCCATCTATAATATAAGGTCTGGCATAAATTCCTCAGGGTCTATGACTTGTGCACGAGTAACTTGCTCTGGTTCCCAGTGTGGTTTCAGGCTTTTCTCTTTTTGAATATTTTATTGGACACTTAATGAGCTCTAGGGAGAGGGAGATCTTGTTCTTGATGTTCTTGATGCCATTTGGACTGGGACCCCACACTTTACCCTTTGTGGCAACCCTGAATAGCAAACAGCATCTGATGTAAATATCATTGTACTTGATTAATGGAAACGGAAACATGCATGCTCTCTGTAACTGATGCAGAAGTTGAAACGTTCGTATTCTGTGATAGTCGACACATATTTATTTGTTCAGCAATAGCTCTGCTGGGTACTGTAAAGATATGGGAGGAGGAAAAGACATTCCTTTCTCCTCAGGAACTCAACATGCATTTGACAAATGCTGAACGCCCATAATTATCAGTTCAGATACTCTCAAAAGTAATGTGCATTCATGGATTGTTACACAACTTTTTCTTGCAAAATTCTTAAAGGGTTTTAGAAACTACTGAAGAATCTGGTATTCAAAAAATAGAGTATCTTGGGTTTTTACCTAGTTGCTGGACAGATACTGTTATTCCCTCACCTCCCCAAATGTGGCTCCATTTTCATGTCAGACATTGCTAATTGATCACAGCATTTTTTTCTAACTGAGGTCAGTAGTACCTCGGGCTGCCCAGGAGATATTACAGTCAGCCAGTGCCAACTGATCAGAGCCAGCCCAAGAGATAAACTCTATTCTCTATCCTGGGCTGAGACTTTTATTTCTGTTTTCTATTCAGTTTATGGCTTGTTATAGGTGTAAATCATTGTTGGATCAGAGTAAATAGATTCCATTTTGAAAGCACGCCGTTAACTCTGTGATGGAAAGAAACACTTCAAGAACTCTGGGGTTTACTTAGGTGTTGAAACAGGCTTTGACCAGTTGAAACTGGGGTGCTTTGGGAAGGTTTATTTCATCTCAGGGAGGTATTGACTTCCCTTTCTCAGCATAGAACAACGATCATTTGCAATAAATACTATAGTCTGTAGTAAAAAAACCAAAAACAAACAAACAAACCTTAATGTTCTAACCGTATTTTGAAGCACCTTTTGTTAAAAATAGAGCAATTTGAATTTCTTCCTTCTCCTTTGTACGTCCTGAGTTTTCTAATAGTCTCAGACTGACTCTCCACTTGAAGATGCAGCACCTATTAAATGCTGTGAATTGAATGAATGTGGTTAGCAAATTGTCAAGAGGGTCCTTAGGAAACAAGAAAAGCTCACCCATCTTCAATCAAACTCCCACTTACCCAGAGCCGTGATTCTACTTCTTGTTTAACGATGCTTTTGTTTATGCCTTTTATGCTTACTCTTTGCATTGCTGGAATTGATTTTTTTTTCCTTTCATCTCTAGTGCATCATGATGGATTGATGGATCCTTGTGAACCGTTTCAGCATGTCAGCTGCCTTGCTAGCAATACAGTTTTCCATATGGGTCATGATATATGTGTTTATTTCCTTAATTTTTATTATTATCACTTGGTAGAAGCAGATTCAGAGACCATGAGTTAATTTTGTCCTCTGGAATATTAATTAGGGAAAGAAAATTTGATTCCTCTTTTAATTTCATATTCTCTTTGACTCGTCCAAGATGGTACCAAGTAACATATAAATGGACTCCCTCATTGACTTAAATAGTATTTGACAGTGATCTACAGAAACAACCAGAATATTTGCTCCTCGGAGAAATAGCTCAGTAGTTAATTAACTGGGCTTTCTGTGTCTGGATAAACTATGATTTCTATTTTTTATTATCCTTTACAAAGAGATTTCTTTTTTATTAATGGCAAGGGGATCCAGAGGTTGAAGCACATTATTATAATTTAATGTTTCCCACGTATCCTTAACAACTGCTTGCGGGGGAGCTTTTCCTGTATTTCTTCTGGGTCCCACAGGATTGCAGCCTAACATCATGCTACTTTACAGGCACTCAGGGTTTAAAATCTAATTGTAAATGTAAAACAAACTCATAGTTCTAGATATTATTTAATGCTGAAGTGGACCTGAGATGCCTCCTAGTGCAATTCCTTCATTTTATTATTTAAAATGAGGAAGTGAACATCCAAAGAGAGATTAAGTAATTTACTCCGCATCACACACCCCACGTCCCAGATCTGTGTCTTTTCAGTCTTCCTTTTGTGCCATCCTCACTACCACACTTGAAGTATAAATATATTTGTCTTGTTGAAAGAACAGTTCACAGCATATAAGACAGTTGCAGATCAATGGTTCTTTAACCTACAAAATAATTTCTGAAGTGTCTTCTCATTTGCCCCTTACTATATCTCCATGTAATCGATAAGGAAGATATCAACATTCCTGTTTTCCAGTGGTGAACCTGAAACACAGAATGCTTACTTGCCTAAGGGTGCATGACTAATTCACATTGTTTTTTCCATTGTAAAATGGATTAGTAGTACCTACCGCATGTGGATGTTTTAAGAAGCAAATAGAATCAAATCAATAATGTCTATAAAGTGCCTGGCTAAAAGTTCCTGTTAAGTGGTGTGGGAGGCTGAATTCTAAGATGGCCTGAGACTCCTATCCCCTGGCATACATGCCTTGTACAATTTCCTCCCCTTGAATGTGGGCAGGACCTGTGAAGGGGATGGGATGTCACTCCTGTGATGAAGTTACATTATCTGGCAAACTTGAAGGGATTTCGCAGATGTAGTTATGGTCCCTAATCAGGTAACTTTAACTTAAATTAAAATTTAACTTAAAAGGGAGATTGCCCGGTGCGGTGGCTCATGCCTGTAATCCCACCACTTTGGGAGGCTGAGGAGGGTGGATCATGAGGTCAGGAGTTTGAGACCAGCCTGACCAACATGGTGAAACCCCATCTCTACTAAAAATACAAAAATTAGTTGGGCATGGTGGCGTGCACCTGTAATCCCAGCTACTTGGGAGGTTGAGGCAGGAGAATCACTTGAACCCAGGAGGCAGAGGTTGCAGTGAGCCGAGATCACACCACTGCACTCCAGCCTGGGTGACAGAGCAAGACTCCGTCTCAAAAAAATGGAGATTACTCTGAGTGGGTCTGACCTAAAAAGGGAGATTATTCTGAATGGGTCTGACCTAATCAGAAGAGCCCTTTAAAAGGGGGTCCAGAGGGCAGGGACAGAAAAAGCAGTAGAGACCCTCCCTTACTGGCCTAGAAGAAGTAAACGGCCAGGTTATTAACTGCTGATGGAGGTAGCAACATGGCAAAGACCCAGAGCAAAGGCCTCTAGGAGCTAGAACAGGTCCCAGTGGACAGCCATCCAGGAAATGGGGACTGCAATCCGACAGCCAGGGGGAGCTGAGCTCTGCCTACCACCAGTGAGCATGGAAGAGGACCCCGAGTGTGAGATAAGATCAGAGGTCCAGCCAACACTGACATTTCAGTCTAGGAGACCCTGGGCAGAGGACGCAGCCACACTCTGCTCAAGCACCTGACCTAGGAAACTGTGAGATCATACATTTGTGTTATTTTAAACTGCTAAGTTTGTGGTAATTTGTTACACGGCAATAGAAAGCTAATACCAACGATAACTATTCTTAGCATAAATAGTTGGTGGTTATGATGACTGTAACCACAATGTTAATAATGCTAATAGTAATAAATTTGAAAGTAAAACCTAAGTTTTAACTCACTTTTACTTATATCAGACTTCACATTATATTTTATGGCTAGAATTGTATCATTTCTAGCTGCAAGAGACCAGGAATAATAAGTCTTTTGGCTGTCTGAACAAATTGCAAGGAAGTATCTGCTGCTGAGGATGAAGGGGAAACCGATCTCAGCCAGCCAGCTCGTGCTTTCTGCCATGCTTCCCTTCCTGGTCAGCAAAAAAGTAGAATTGACCCTCAAACCTAGTTACTGCTGGATTATTATGACCCTCAAGCTTGATGGTGTCAGCTGACACTGATTTGGGGAAAAAACAGGAAGAATATTGATTGATAGCTCAGAAGTTGTTCAAAATGGAATTGCAATTGTTGAGTGAAGTAAGATTTGGACTTGGGGGTTTTGGTAGTAAGCCCCGAGAGCATGCTGGGATCAAATCCAGAAATGTAGTGACTGATGGGGAGTGAGGGATACAGAGAGGAGAGGGTAGGTGGAAAACAGCATTCTAGGCCCAGAATTTGAGCTGTTGTGACCCTAGTAGTGATGGAAGACAAAACTTGTTTCAGTGACACCAGCCAAAGTTTATCTTCTCTCTTCCAGAATCCTGAGGACAACATTGTCCTACTGATGTTCATTCAATCCTTGTTTTTTTCTGTATGTAATCAATTCTATGTGAAAAATATAGATACTTACCACAATAACTAGTAAAAGCCTGTTTCCTCATTGTAAAATGGGCAATACTTTTACCTTCGATGTGTTTTAAAAACTACGTGTGGTCGTGAATGTTAAGCAGCAAGTCAGGTAGTCGCTGCCGAATGCATGGGAGCTGTTGCTGTGTTTCTTCTTGCTTGTGCACACTTTTCATTGCTCCTTGAAGTCACAGACTGTGGTTTATATATGCTGCTTTTTATGTCCTATTAGTGTGTCACATAAAAGGTGTGCTACAAAAATCTTGGATTGAATAATTACAGATAACTTGCAAAAGGGCAATGAGAAGGAAAGTAAATGTTAATGTTTTCCCTGAAGTACACGTATTTGTGTGTGTGTGTGTGTGTGCATTTCTATGTATTTATCCATGTAGCTATAGATAGACTTGGATACGTGGGACCCGTTATTCTGTCTTGCCAGCTAACTATCTCATTTTTCTTCAGTACCTATCTCTAAAAGTGAAATACTGTCTTGATTCATAAACATATCATGTTTTTCACCAAAATGAAGAAAACAGTATGAAATAAGAAGAATCTACTCTTAGCAGATAGTGAAGTCTGACTTGCCATATGTGTTCACATAATTGTTCATTTATTTGCGGGACACATATTGACCTATAATTTAGGGTCAGTGTGAGGCACTGGGGGAGCCCCTTCTGGGGTGTTCAAGGTCCATGAGGAATATGGACAAGAGCTGCTACAGGGGTGCACTCTAGGGGTTCGGGGATGCCAGAGCCTAGAAGGTATCCATTGCACACCCACACGTGCCGGCCACATGACACTCCGCAGGCCGTGTGTGAAGTAAGAAGAGAGAGCACAGTTCAGGGACTGGGTGACACATCTTTCCCTACTAAATTTCGGGAACTTTATGGGCCCAGCGCTCCTTTTACTTAAAGATGGGATTCATGTCAAAAATAGACCTAGAAATAGGACTTATACAGAGTCAAAATGGTACAATCTCGTTCTTATTTTAGGATGTATAAAACCTCAATCTCAAAAATGTCCCTATGTTTAATGCGATAAAAAAATCAGTTTCTTTAAAAAGAAAGTATTTAAACCTGATATGAAAGGCATAGCAAAGCAAGAATTCGGCCTGTTGATATTCACTTTATAATCAAACACTCAGTTAGTCTGTCCCATAAATTCCAACATAAGAGGTGTCTAAAACTTCTAAGGAGAAAAATGCTGGAATTCAGACTGTGTTCAGAGTGTGCTTTTTTGTACAAAGCCGGACTGCCCTATGCATTCTCGTCAGATAATTCCCAAATGCATGTGAAATCTACCACAGAATTGTAGGACTATTAGACAGTTTTATTACTACCTCATAAAAATATTTCAAAACCTGTGGGAGTTTTATGAAACCAGCACTCATCAATCCTTATCATTCCCAATTTTGAGGCCCATGAGATGTGTCTCAGAGCAATTAGAGATGTTAATTTTGAAGCAAACTGTCACATGATAAATGCTTCATTATCTGTGGGCAACAGACCATTTAAAACTTTATCTCTTTCCAAAATCTTTATATCTTTAGATATACATTTGTAAATTTTAAATCTTTATAAAATTGATCCCTTCTTCCTCTGAGCCGTTGCTCTACATGTGTTTCAACAAGCCCTGAAATAGGCAACAAGCACTGAAATAGGCAGGTAGCTCAATAGGTTTCCAAACACTGTTGTGTGGATGGATGCATAAATAGATGAAACAGCCTGTAATGCTGGGAACTTGTAAGTTACAGTGATTATTAAAACATCCTAACCTTTTTTTTTAAATGAAAAGTGGTGAGATGTCTACATATTTTTCACAGTTAGCTATATACACGTTTAAGGTGGTGGGGTACATGGAGCACTGAATTCAGGGCTGTGGAGGCTGGTACTGGTCTTACCACCTTGGGCAAGTCTCTTTCTTCCTGTCTCCTTGCTTGATCAATAACTTGAGATGAGACCATCTCAGTTATGAAGTTCCTTCCAACTCTAAAGGTAATCTTTCTTGAAGATAGTGGGTTTTGGAAAATGGCAGTCTGCATATGAAGGGATAACCCATGATGTTGATAATCAAGTAATCTCTCTTGTCCTTGTTTCCTTGAGAAATCAACCTCCAATCTGAGGGATGTGTGTGTGTGTGTGTGTGTGTGTGTGTGTGTGTGTGTGTGTGTGTTTATGTATGTATACATCTGCATTAGTTGAAAAAGTGAACAGGTAACCTGGAGAATGAGGGTGTTTCCAGGAGAGAGCCTCAGAAGATCCAGGTGGTTTGCTTTGTTACCATGTGTCAAAACTCAGGGAAGGTCAGTTTTTTTTTTCTGAGAAAGAGTTGTGTGGAAGTGTGAGGTTGGGCAAGTAAACATGAAAATTAGCACCTGGAATATGGACTCCTTAACACCTTGTATCCCACCCTTTTCTTGGAAGAATAAGTGTGCCCCGCTGGCATAACTTTGCTTTTTCTTGTTGAAGGACATAAACATCCTTCTTCCTGCCCCTGTGGCCACATTGCCATTTACTCCTGTTCAACAATTTACCCCAAAGCTATTAGTTATCCTTAAAAGAAATCATATGTAATGGAAGAATGAATACAGACTTCTACTAATATAGGACAGAAACCAGGAGTGTAACAGCTGTCCTTGGTGTTTTTGTTGGAAATGTTTGATTAAATATCGAAGTAGAGAGAAAATGAGAGGAGATTTAGGCAAGGAGTATTGAGGGAATAAAAGTAGGTAAACTCAATTATCAAAATATATTTGGAGCCTGGACTTAATTTATTGTCAGCAAAGACCATCCATCATGGGTACCCCTTCTTTTCCAATTAATGAAAAACTAACACTGACATTCAACTTTGCTGGGGACAAGGCTGTTTTAAATCTCATTAAGAAAGGTGTCGTCATCCCCTTTTTACAGAATAGGAAGCTGAACCACCGAGAAATTAAGTGCCTTCCACAGAACAATTCATTTCAACGATGAGTGAGCCTGGAACCAACTTCTGCCAACACTTGTTCCCTTGACCTTTTCTCTGATCCATGTCATGAGAATTATTTCTAGGGTCTTAGTTACTCATTTCTCATAGGAATTTCTTCCAGGGTCTTCCTATGTATGGGCTACATGTGAGAGAAAAGGTTCCACCTTCACAAAATCATGAATTAAATACACAGCACTGGTTAGTGCAGATGAATCAATGACAAGAAATAGAAGTTAGCAGGTTCTTCTTCTTTGGAAAACGTTTTGTGTTTATTGTGTAATGGTCAAGTATGAAATGAAATAAGAGAAGCCCTAGGTGGATGGACAGAGCAGGGTGAAGTCAATGTAAGGATGGAAGAGCCAGCCCTATCTGCCCTGCTTGGCTCTTCCAGAAGCCCCTGCAGCGGAAGGACCACGTTCTGCATTTGTGTGCAGGGATCCACTTAAATGCCATTCCTTTGACTCATGTGAGCTTCTGCTTCCTGCTGTGTAGCCCCTCGTGTGCTCTGTGAGCAGCTCATTGTCCCCTCATCTGTCATACTTGACTGCAGTTATCCATGTGTCTTTCCTTTCCAAGACTCTCTCTGTCCTGTTCATGGTTATGCTTCTGGGTACCCAGCACATTGTAGGAATGAATGAATGTTTGATGCGTGGACTCTTAGGAAAGCATAAAACTCAAGTTTCAGAATAACTTTCCTGTTGCTGGGGGTACTGTTTGAAGGAATAATGAGAAGCACATAGTCAGGAGATTGCCTTTTCTCTGATAATCTCATCACTTCCGCAGCATTTCACTGCCTGATCCACATTTGATGTAAGCTACTCAATTCCTTCATCTTCTTTTCTTGCTGAAAATTCTTGTCCACATGAGTCATTATGAAAGCCCAAACCTTGTAGTCATTCTCGCAAGGATATGTCAGGGTGCTAACATTTGTGCCAGGTACCGGGGAAAGAAACATGTAAGGTTGCCCCTTGTTGGGGAGTCCGGTGTCTAATGTGAAGGCAGACAAGTAAATGGTGGGACTCAGTGAGAGGTGCCTAAGGTGTCATGGGGGATGGGCACACATAGGAGATGCTGCTTCAGGGATGGTGATGCCGGTAGCATCTTGAAGGGGATTGTGCCATCAGGTTGCCCCAGAATGTCTTTTCTAACATGGATAAAGTTGCCAGCTGCCTTTGAGTTCGAGCTAACAAGTCTTATTGCAGGTCGTTTTCATACCAAACATAATAAAAGAACATAGTGAAAGTGTTTCCACCATTAATTCAGTGAAACATGCTGAAGAGCTACTCTGTCCTTGTGACTTAGCAGATGTGTATGCACAACTCCTGTGGGCAGGTGCTCTCTGCTGAGGGGCAGAGCCCAGCTATGCCCCTGAAAAAAAAAGAGACACTTTAAATGCTACCCTAGAGATGTTTAAAGGTGATTTTGATGCACAAAGGAGGAGGATTCTGTTCTGCCTGGGAAGTCAGAGGAGGCAGCACTGAGCAGGTGGAACTTATACTGGGCACTGAAGCATGGGTAGGAGTTCACCAGGTAGAGGGGAATGGAATGGAATGGAATGGAGTCAGGACAGAAGAGCCCTCTGTGCAGATGGAACCATGTAGGCAAAGGCAGGAGGGCAGGGAGCAATTCCTCTTTCGGGTTTTGCTGCTGTGTATATCCTAAATGTGAGGAAGGATGCTGAAAAGGTGGGCTTATGCATCGCCTGTGGAGTAGATTTCATTTGGTTGGTAATGAGGAATCATTGAAAGATACTGAGTGAAGGGCACAGACATGATCCGATTAGCCTTTTGGAGAGGAGAACCACTCTGTCACTATACAAAGGACAGAGTGTGGGATCTGTGGGGTGGGGTAGGGTGTGGATACTGAAGGGTGAGTCCCCATTAGGAAGCATTAACAGTAGTCCTGGGACAAGACAGTGGAAGCCTTAACCAGACAGGATGCAATGGAAAGAAGAAGCAAATTGGAGCAGCATTGAAAATGTGTATTGATGGCACACAAGGATCAGGAGACTGTTGAGACGGTGGGAAAGAAACAGCTCTCAGGTGTCCGTCATCAAGTGGGGGCTGCATTGACCCCTCCCATGTCAAAAACTTAAATCACCTGGGTTACAGAAAAGCACCCTCACAACAACCATTGAGTAGGTATTGTTTTCCCTTGTTAAAGAAGAGGAACCCAATGGTCAGAGATGTCTAGTAACTTAGCCAGTGTCACACAGCTCATGGTAGGACCTCCACTCATGGGAGTTACCCGGCTTGACAGAGACTACTGAGTCATTCACTGATGACCAGGAGTGAAATGTGGAGCTCAGACCTTCGAAAGGCTGAGATGGCACTGAAATAAAAAAGAGGGATAGTGTATGCTATAGACTGAATGTGTCCCTCAAAATTCATGTTGAAACCTAATCCCCAATGTAATGGTATTGGAGGCGAGGGCTTTGTGAGGTGATTACAGATATTGAGGGAGGAGTCCTCATGAATCAGATCAGTGTCCTTGTAAAAGAGGCCCTAGAATGCTCTCTTGCATCTTCTACCATGTGAGAACACAACAAAAAGGCATCATCTAGGAGTCAGGAAGCAGGGCCTCCCCAGACAACAAACCTTCTCCTTCCTGCACCTTGACCTTGGGCTTTCAGTGCCCAGAACTGTGAGAAATAAATTTCTGTGGTTTATAAGCCACCCAGTCTATGATATTTTCTTATATCAGCCCGAACAGACTAAGAGTACAGTAGCTTTCAAGGGCAACTGGATCAAGGGGAAGGAGAACTTTTTTTATTTGTTAAAGATGTCAGCAACTGGCCGGGTATGGTGGCTCACCCTTTAATCCCAGCACTTTGCGAGGCCGAGGCAGGCAGATCACCTGAGGTCAGGAGTTCGAAACCAGTCTGACCAACATGGTGAAACCCCGTCTCTACTATAATAAAAAATTAGCTGGGTGTGGTGGTGTGTGCCTGTAATCCCAGCTACTTGGGAAGCTGAGGTATGAGAATTGCTTGAACCCGGGAGGTGGAGTTTGCAGTGAGCTGAGATTGTATGACTGCACTCTAGCCTGGGTGATAGAGAGTGACTCCAGCTCAAAAAAAAAAAAAAAAAAGTCAGCAACTTGAGCATTTTTATAGGCGGGGCAGAGGGGACCAATGAAAAGAAAGTAGGACATCCTAGTGTGAGGGGAGAGTTGGGCTCAGGGAAGGAGGAAGTACACCTCTCCCTTGGACACTGGAAGGGAAGGCGTTGCTGATGAAAACTCCAAAGAAAGAAGAGGTCCGTGCAGGATGCCTCATCACTGGGTTTGAGCTTTTCAGCAAAATTGGTGGGGAAGACATCTGCACAGAATTAGAAAAATAATAAATGCAGACATGGTACCTTAGAGTGCTGGAAAAGGCACCCCACCCTCGGGGAAGCTGATCTGAGAGGCATGCAGGGCGTCCTGGTGTGGGGAGCTGTGTGGAGAGTGCGTCTGGAGGCAGTGAGTCTTACTTCCTGACTTTGTAGCCATGCAGCTCAGCAGCCTCAGGAAGACTCAGCTCCCTGCAATTTGCTTTACAGGTACTGCTCTCGGGCGTTTAGACTTCCACAATGGGGAAGATAAAAGAAATACATTTTAATTTCTAGGAAAATGAAGCATGTAAAAATAAAATCACTTGCTCTATCCAGTGTATCATTTGCTTTTCCAGACTATTTTAGCAGTTACAGTGGACAACTGCTAAGCACACTTGACTCATTCATTTGTAGATTTCATTATAAGCACCACAATTAACCCATCTTAAAAAAAAATCTTGACAGAAAAGTATTTAAGTTCTTGACTAAATTCAGCTTTCAGAAGGCATCAGTGATTCTGCTGATGGTGATTGAGAAGATTAAATATGTAGATGTTTTCTTCTTGGTGTATGAGAGACATGTTTGTGTTGGTGGGAGCACCAGGTGTGTGTGGGAGAGGAGCTGGAGTCCCAGGCCACCACACTGGTTGGGGTGGTAACATGTATTTCCCATGTTCTGCTCTGCCAGGCCGAATACAATGTGTTGATAACTGACATCTGTGCTTCTATCAAATTAAACCTGAAGTGCCTCTTTTCATTTCAAATAACTTTGCTCTTTCCTCAGGTGATTATCTTTAATCTTTGTTAGAAATGCTTGTTCCCTGGTGCCACAAAGAAATAGCACTCGAACATAAATTTAATTCTCTCAGCAAGGCCATTTTTACTTCCTGCAGAAAGGGTGCTCTATGCAGATGGAACAATGGCGAGAGCACGCTTGAACAAAGGAAAAGCAGACATATTTATCCCTTACACATTTGGGTCGTCCTTACTGCTGTGTCTGGCATCCATTGGCTGGAGCTGGACCTCACAGTCTTAAACAGATACCCTATTTGCTAATAGCTTAACACTTTCTTAAACAGGTAAGTGCAAGGGAGAACAAAGAAGAAGAGAAAGTTGCTCATGAAAGGTTTAAGGAAGCAATAACATTTCCAAATAGGGAAGGGGCATAAGCTATGAGCTAAGACTTGCCTGGGCCTGTCCAGACATGCTTGAGTAAGCCAAAGCAACTAACTGGGCTAAAGTGTAAGAACTGATAGTTGATAGGAGGCTTTAGAGTAAGAAGCTATTATTCCTAGTGTCTATTATTATATTTTTAAACCAAGACAAGCTTTGAAGAGGAACTTTTCTACTTTCTACAATCTTTATCAGGTTTTCAGTTCATTAGTCTATTTAATCTCTTATGTCATTTTTACATTTTTTATGCCATTTAGACCATCAATTAATAAACATTGAGAAATACAATTATTATAATTGTTAATTATTATATTGAATTCAGAGGAGGGACACATGTTTAATATTACATTCTATAGAACATTCTAAGCTTAATTTCAGGAAAGATTCAGTTTTATTCTTATAAGTATGTATAATTAGTCAAAAAGTTCCTTATCAAAATCAATGTCTATAAACCAACAGGTGAGTTTTTTGTGTGCCCACCAGATGCTTATATGTCCGTGGGCAGGAATAATCATGGGAATAACTCATCCATCCAGCTGGACCTTGGGGATATTTCTAAATGTCTGATAGAGATCCTGCTATTCACACAGCTGTGGAGTGACTTGGCTAACTGATGTCTTTTCTTTAGGAACCGTGGAGCATGCAACACATCCCGGCACTGTTTTCGGCCTTCTGTGGCCTCTTGGTCGCCCTTTCTTACCATCTGAGCCGTCAGAGCAGTGACCCATCTGTACTCATGTGAGTGGTCTATGCCTGTGCTCTCTCATCACTGAGCTGGGGGCATAGTTCCTGCAGCTTTGTGCCCTGACTGAGATGGGCAGACAGCAATTCACTGCCCATTGTGATTTGACTCTCATTATTAAACTAGCTGGTCACTCACTAGAGGAGGGAAGGAGAAATACAGGACCAGCCAGAAACTAATAACAATTAAAAATGAACATCTAGCAAACATTTTAGTTTTGCTCTTTTGATTTTGGAGTAAAATGCACAGTGGCAGGAACAGAGGGTCGATAGCACCCAAGCCCTGTTGTGACTTTCCCTTGGGTGAGCTGGGTAAGAAGCTGCCTCCTCAACAATACCCTCTCTAGATCCATTAACTACATCCCTGCCTTTACTCTAGGCAGTTACCCTGGGGAGACTAAACCAGCACCTCTGAAAAGAAAGATTTTGTTTGATTTTATTGTTTTGTTGTTGTTGTTGTTCCCAATCTGGCCAACGTCCTCTGGATTTAAAGTGAAATTTGCACCAAAGTGTTAAAATGTATTTAATGTAATGCTTAGTAATGTGAAAGTATACATTACAATCTTCCCTTTAATCATATCTTTAAGTTTTGGTAACGTGTACTCTGGCACTGGAAATCTTTCATGTGATGCCACAGTGAGTTTAAGATATTGACAGTAGCATCTTATGTAATTTGTTTAAATTTATGAAAGATTTTGATTTAAGATAACCGTAACTCTTTGAAGACCAGAGACACCATAATTTTAGGCCATGAGGTGCAGTAGTGTGAAAGGCATGAAAAATGGGGGAAACAAAAGTTAAACATGGTTCACACAATTTTTAGTGTCAATTGTATTAGTGCAATGTTCACTTTTTGCTGCTAATTGTGAAGATGAAGCCCTAGTGGGCTAGCAGAGATGGAGGACCTTCCCCATGTCCCACTGCTGACAATAGAGGGCAATGATACTGCTAAGGTACTTGACTGCTCTCATTAGGATGAAATTTACAAATCAAAACACTATCTTTATGATCACTTGAACATGCACCTCTTTTTATTATAAATTTTTAAATGAAGAGAGCACTTGTTTTTGTCATGTGTGGGTGTGAGATCTAAGGTGAAGTTATTTACCGAAAACACTGTCCCAGGAACATCTTTGATGAAGTATTGTGTTTTTCCACTTTCAGGTCCTTCATCCAATGCAGGCTGTTTCCTAAATTTTTACATCAAAATCTGGCAGAGTCAGCTGCTGACCCTCTCCCCAAGAAGATGAAAGATTCAGTGGTGAGACATTTGCGTTGTGTAATGTAGCATAGGAGGGCCTCATCTTTCAGCAGAGATCAGGCTCTCAATGGAGCTCTAGGCAGGTGGACATGAGAAGGACTAGGACAGAAAGATACACCTCGCTTGGTACCTGGCACACTGGGCTGTTGAGCTGCCTGCCAGGTGCAGCCCTATTTGAAACGCTTGCTCTCCGGTGCTGTAAAGAATATCACTTGAAAGTAAATTTAACTTACTCAGCAAGGCCATTTTTATACTTTCTGCAGAAAGGGTACACTCGCCAGCAGTTTTGCCATGAGAGTACACCAAACAAAGGAGACAGGGTCATTTATAACCTGACACATCCACCTTACTGCTGTGTCCGGTTTCCATTGGCTGGAATGGGGCCTCACATTCTATATTTGTCCCGATTGGCTAGCAACTTAGAACTTTTTAGAAGAGGCAAAGGTAGAGGAGAACAAAGGAAGGAGGAAGTAACTTGTGGAATGCTAAGAAAGGTAAAAACACCTTTAAATAAGGAAGAGGATCAGGCTATGACCTAATGCTTGCTTGGACCAGTATAAGCATGCCAGAGCAAGTATTTAGGCTAAATTGTGGGAGCTAAGAACATAAAGTACATTGATTTCTTTATCACGGCTAGCAGATATTTAAGAATGTTAGCACAGGTCTTTGAATAAATTTTGCTTCTAAGAGAAGTTACTATTTATTCCTAATTAAATGGGGAGGAAAGTCTTTGAAGAGGAACCTTTACTTTATTTTTTTACAAGCCCTTTAGAGCATCTTTTTTTTTCTTTAGAGACAGAATCTCACTGTCTCCCAGGCTGGAGTGCAGTGGCATGATCTCGGCTCACTGCAAGCTCCGCCTCCCAGGTTCACACCATTCTCCTGCCTCAGCCCGAGTAGCTGGGACTACAGGTGCCCGCCACCATGCCCAGCTAATTTTTTGTATTTTTTTAGTAGAGACGGGGTTTCACCGTGTTAACCAGGATGGTCTCGATCTCCTGACCACGTGATCTGCCTGCCTCAGCCTCCCAAATTGCTGGGATTACAGGCGTGAGCCACCGCCCCCAGCCTAGAGCATCTTGATGGTGGCTGTTGTGCACACATGGTGTGGCCACTTAGGTGGCCCTCAGGTGGCTGCAGTTTGCCAGGATAGTCACATGAATCACATTCAGTCCGTTTTGTGTATTGCTGGCACCAAACAGCAGGTGGGCTCTGCACAAATGAAAGCTTGTCAGATAAACGTTTAGCCAACCTGCCCTCCTGATGTGGTCCACACACAGCTGTTCTCCACATCTTCTCCCCTAAGCACCATGCTTAGTTCAGAGCATTCTTTCAAAGTTGATGTCTGCATAGCGATTGCTTGGGGCCCTTGGACTTTAGACTTATGGCTGGGTCACAGAGAAGGGGGCAACCACACTGGGTGGAGCACGGGAGAAGAAAAGGAAGAAGGAGAGAAAGGAAGGAACAAGAGAATCCTACAACTATAAAATAATGATGCCATTTCCTTGTTCACCAGGATAAGGGCTCTGGACAGCTTCAAAAGTTCTTTTAGCAGATGTCGTTTCTTTGGTATCAACTTACAAACATTCATACTTTGAAACACAATGCTCATTAATTGTGTAAGCTCCCATACATCTGAGTATTGAGCTTGGAGCCTCTGATGTCCTTGACTCACACTTTTCCTGGTTTTCTTAGGAATGACAGATAAAAGGAAAAGAGAAATAGTCTGTTGATCCAGCCAGGACTGTGTCTCATTTGTCTTGATATCCACAGAGCCAGTGCCCGGTGTTACAGTGGGTGCTCAGTACAGTTCATGGAATTTCGATGAATTTAATTGCAGTCTGCCATTTCAAGACGACGTACAGGACTCACAGCCAACATGATAGCCTTAAAAAAATTCATACTCAGCTTTTGTGCCTTTGAGTGTGGTCAGAATTCAAACTAGTATTAAGGCTTTTTTTCCACTACAAGGGAATCAAAGGACAAATCACTTAATATGAGTAAGGGCATAGTTCATGAATTTTAGGAGCAGAGATACATTTAAAAGCAGGTTAAAAGTCAAAGCAGCTGGGCCTGATGAGATGGCAGCTTAAAAAAAAAGAGAAATATTTGACATAAGCCTAGCATCCACAACCTGACCTCTAATATTTATACCAGGAGACTTACAGGGAGAAGGTCAAACTGACATTCCTACAGCATTTTCTGTAAAAGCCGTAGGGTGGCCCAGAGTCTACCCAAAAGTCTCCCCATGGATATCTGAGAAAAACTATGCCCTTCAATCTTCCTTGATTTCATGACTAATGAAGATGCATTTCTACTTTCTGATTTATTGCAGTTAAAAAAAAGGTAGGAATTACAAGGAAATTTGACAAGAAATTTGCCCAGCAGAGGTTGATAGTATTTCATTGGTATAATTAGATGTGATGGGCTAGGTGTTGCCTCCCTTGGTTTTCATACCCTTTGAAATGCTTTGTACAGTGTGGAGCACATAACTTGTTAGGTGATTTAATAAGATGTTTGTGTTCATTTCTCTGAAAAGTCTCTGGCCTAATTATAATATTTTAATGGGAATATCACATTCAGCTTTTAGAGTTTGATATAATACCTTCTGTGACACTGTGCAAGCATAAACCCCCCTCCCATTGTCTCTGATTTTGTTTCTCTGTGTCTCCAGCTCTTATTTTCTCTGTCTGTCTGTCTCTCTTCTTGAGTTTTAGTCTGTATGAGAACCCCTCAGGGAGCCTCATTAGATTTCAGTTTTCTAGCCCTCTGCCCATATTCTGATTCATCTGGCCTGTGAGGGGGTCTGAGGATCTTCATTTTAACAAGAATGTTCACCCAGGTGATTCTGTTTAGGTGATCCACAGATTGCACTTCAGGAAACATTGATCTAGAAACAGAGATATACCAATGGGCCTATACATTTGCATATGAGCAAGATAAGTTATGCACACAAAGTTTATCACCAAAATTCATTACTTAATAAAGATATAAACTTTCCGCTAATGGTTTACCTGGTTAGTCTTTTTCTATTTGTCTTATTAGCACAGACTCTTTTAACTTTCATATCTTTGTCATTTTCAACACCCTTTATTATGTTTAGATTTGTTTGTTTCACTGTATCAATTTTCTTCAGTTCCTAGAAACAAAAAAAAGCCTATTTAATTCTTATGTGTAAAATTCAAACAGTCTTTTCCTAAATCATTGGTTATAATATCTAGATTTTTCTGGTCCCATGCTGCTAGATGTGGAATGTTGGAACAGGGGTTCTTAAGCTTCCTTTGAGAGTTGGAGTGTGAAGTACTATATAAAATGCCACAGTGAATTTAAAATGTTCAGTATATGAAAAGCTAATATATTTCTTAGTTAAACATGCACGGATTTACCATAAATCCAAAAATTTATATATAAATTTATATATAAATTTTTCATTTTTTTCTCTTTGCAGCCTTACACTGGCCAGAACTTCTAAAACAATATTCAATAATATTAATAGTTTGCTATTTTACATTATATAAAATATAAATTATATATTACATATTATATATAATTTATATAAAATATAAATTAAATATATAACATAATTTTTATATAATATATAATATAAATTAAATACATATTTATTATAATACTATATAATATATAAAATATGTTATATATTACATATAATATATAATTTATTATATATAATATACAAATTAAATATATTTATATATAATTTTATATATTATATATAAAATTTAAATTATATATTTGTTTTATGTATATATAAAATGAAAAGCAAAATAGTAAAGAGTAAAGAGCAAAGAGAAAAAGAAAAAAATGATGATTTATATGTGTATATAAAACTTTTCTGTGCATACTATATAATCAACTATGATTAATAAGAGTATTCATAAATACAACCAGAGAAAAGAAAATTTAGAAAAGCAAGAACTTTCTAACATACCAGAAATAACCTATGAAAATGTGATCCAACTCACAATACCAACAAAATGTCTGAATTGATAATGGAAATGATTTCTAACAAGTAGTGTCACAAATAAAGTAAACTAACTACCGCAGTTTATTAAAATGTAAATGATGTTCTGAATAAGTGGAGATAGACATAACCTGATTTTGGATAGGAAGGCTGAGATTTATAAAATGCCAATTCTTTCTAATGAATTTGTAGGTTTCATATAATTCAAAACAGTTCCAAAGGCATTATATTCCCAACATTGATAAATGATTCTAAGGTTCCTTTAGAAGAATAGCAGCTAATAGTTTTTAAAAACTTGAGAAAGAAGCATAAGAAAAAGGAACTTAGCACTTTTAGATTTAAGAGTGAAGACTGGGCTGGGCATGGTGGCTCACACCTATAATGCCAGCACTTTCGGAGGCCGAGGCGGGTGGATCACCTGAGGTCAGGAGTTCGAAACCAGCCTGGCCAACATGGTGAAACCCCATCTCTACTAAAAATACAAAATTAGCCAGGTGTGGTGGCACATGCCTCTAGTCTCAGCTACTTGGGAGGCTGAGGCAGGAGAATCACTTGAACCCGGGAGGTGGAGGTTGCAGCGAGATCGCGCCACTGCATTCCAGCCTGGGCAACAAGAGTGAAGCTCTGTCTTTAAAAAGAGAAAAAAAAAAAAAGAGTGAAGACTGAATAATCAGAAAAAAGTATGAGACTATCCAAGATCAGAGAATGGGATTAGTGGATCAGAAAAACACAGAAAGGAGACAGACTCTTTTATGAATGTATTATGTCAAAATTAAATGTCACAATCAAAAATTGATTTTCAGAGTCTAGTGTTGAGGTAATTGTTTAGCAGTGGGAAAGAAAAATGAATCTTATGTGCTAGTCCCTCGCCAGACACCAATGTAAATGAGAGAGGGATTTAAGAGTTTCAGAAAGTGAGAGAGAGGAAGAGGGAAAAGAAAACGAGGAAAGTCACGTGGGACTTTTTCATTTCTGATATTATGGCAGGTTACTGCTGATTAAAACTAAAAATTCTGAATAAAATACAAAAAAACTCTTCCTGAATGTAACAAAACCTGACAAAATAATAAGGAATTATCAGCTTAAAATCTTACTGAACAGGAGTACCTGGAGGAAGCAGGGCAGGAAGCTGCTTTTGCCCCAAGAGCATTTGCCCAACCTGGGGACCTTAAGCCTTGTTTTTCAGACCTCGAACTATGGAGAACAGGAATTGAAGCCCAGGTGGGTGTCCAATGCCAGACCATGGATCATCAGCCTGGGACACCAAAGTGCCACACTCTCAGAGTGAGGATGATCCTCAGGAAGTCAGCTCTACCACCCTCCACACCAGGAAGTGCAAGCAGACTCACCTCATGATTGAGCAGAATAAGAGAATCCTTGAGAAGTCATAAGTTTGCATGGATTTGCAGCACAAGTTCAAACAACTAGATGGCACCAAATCCCTCAATTTATGAAGACATTTAACGTGGTACCCAATTGGAAACGCCTCATGGCAGAAACAAACATAAATCCTTTCTAGAAGGTTGCCTTGTCCAAGTGTTTCCCAAACCAGTTTTTTTAGGGAAAATGCACAGCTTACTATAAAAAAATTTTAACCTAAACTTGGAAATAAGGAACCAGCAGAAACAGGTCTGCAAATATTTCAGATATTGGAAGTATCAGACACAGATTTTAAAACAACTATACTTAAGATGCTTAAAGAAGTAAAAGGCAAGCTTTAAAATTTATAGACCATAGAAAATATTTAAAACAATCCAGCATGTTTGAAAGAGAGCCAAATAGAATTTCCTAAACAAACAAACAAACAAATGAATCAATTGAAATATACACCACCACACACCCCACACATGGGAGATTAGATGCCTCTGAAGAGAGAATTAGTGAACTGAAAGATAAGGAGAGAAGAAAGTACCCAGAACATAACACTAATTGACAAAAGAAAAAAAATCAAGAAATTTGAAAGAGAAATGACTTGAAGGATAGAGTGAGAAAATCTAAAATATATCCAATCAGAATTCCTTGAAAAAGAGAGAGAGACTGAAGCATAATCAATATTTGATGAGATAATATCTGAGAGTTTACCAGAATTGATGAAAGACACTTATCTTGAGATTCAGGAATTTCAGTGAATCACAAGTAGGGTAAATTAAAGAAAAAAGAATCCGCACCAGACAAGCCATAGTGAAAATGCAGCATGCCAAGCACACAGACCAACTTAAAGCAGGTAAACAGAATGAACAGATCTCATTCAAATGGATGAGAGGCTGCAAGCTCCCTTATCAAGAGCCCTCATGGAAGCCAGAAGACAGTTGTTGGATATACTTAATGATGTGTAAAGAAAGTAACTACCAAGCTAGAACTTTACTCCTAGTGAAAATATCTTTTAAGGATAAAGGCAAAATAAATTTTAGAAAAACAAAAGCTCAGAGACCCTCATTACATGTAATTCTGAAGATATTTTTCAGTAGAAAGTGACCTTGTGTTAAAAGTAATTTGAGGAGAAAAAAAAAGATTTAAAAAAAAAAAGTGGTCTTGGATGGAAGATCTGATTTGCAAGTGAACAAAAAGAAAAGAAAGTGGCAGGTACATTGGCAAACCTGAGTAAATATTAACTGCATTAAACCATGATAAGACTATATAGTTGGCTTAAAAAATGTAAGGTAGAATGAAAATACATGATAATAATAATAAACAAGTTTAGACGAGAGGAGAAATGAACTTCAAGTCGTCAGAGGTCTTCGTAATGTCCAAGAGAAGAATAAAGATACAGATTGAATGTCCCTAATTCAAAAATCCAAAACCTGAAATGCTTCAAAATCCAAAACATTTTGAGCACCAACGTGACGCACAAAGGAAGGGAGTGTTTTGCATTTCGGATTTTCGGATGAGGGCTGCTCAGCCCGTACCATTAACTTTGGTCTGTGATAAATTAGGTATGCATGTTGGAATGTTTTGTGCAACTACTAAAGGAATAGAAACAAAGCATGTAGCTTCCAAATCCAAACAGAGGGAAAAACGGAAAACTAAAAAATAGAAGTGATTCACAAATAACAAAAGGAAATTGGACTAATATGTCATACTATACTTAAAAGTCAATTCCAGGTAAATTATAAGCCTAAATATGAGAAAATAAAACCTGAAAGCACTTAGAGTCATAATAATGGAAACTACTTTTATGATAGCAGTGTAGGAAATAATTTTTTAAAACAACACAAAAGATTCAAATTAATTAAAATTATGACCTTTGATTTATTATTTTAAATTTTACAGAAAAGAGACTAGTGTCTAGATGAGTATAAGATTCCTCTAAATCAATAAGAAAACCAGATATCTCCATTGAAAATAGGCAGAAGACTTGTACATACACTTCACAAATGAGGAAATATAAATGGCCAAAAACCATGAATATATGGGCAACCTCATTAATCATCAGAAAACTCCAAATTAAAATCACACCGACTCACCATTTCAAAACTACCAGACTAAAAAAAATGTAAAGTTCTCAGAGTACTAAGTGTTGACAAGTGTAGAGCAAGAGAATTCTCATGTATTGCTGGTGGGAGTGTGAATTAGTATACACATTTTGGACAAAAGTTTAATAACATAAAGTTTAAGACATGAATAGACTGCAGCCAGCAATTCTACTCCTAGGTACTTATTCTGGAGCAAATCTTGCACATTTGCACCAAAATACACATATAAAATTGTTCATAATAGCACCTTTTCATGAAAGTGCCAAATGAGTATTCTACAGCAAAGGAAATAAACTTATTACAGCTAAATGCAATGCATGAGTGAATCTTAACCACGTAATGTTGAGCAAAGGAAGCAAGACACAAAATAATGCATATAGTATGGTACAATATATTGAGTAAAAATGGGCAAAATTAAACAGCTTACAGTTGCATACCTAAGTCGTAAGTAGTGAAATCATTTTTTTTTTTCAAGCAAGAAAATGATTTTCACCAGTCAGGATTGTTGATGGGAACCTCCAGAAGGCGAGAGAAGGATTTTTGATCAGATAGCCACATACAAGAAGCTTCTAGGATGCTGGAAATGTTAGATTAATTGAACTAGTTGGTGGTTACAGAGGTGTTCACTTTATAATTATTAAACTGTACATACTTATTATATGCAATTTATGGTTACCTGTGTCACATTTTTTTTTTTTTTTTGAGACGGAGTTTCGCTCTGTCGCCCAGGCTGGAGTGCAGTGGCGCGATCTCGACTCACTGCAAGCTCCGCCTCCCGGGTTCACGCCATTCTCCTGCCTCAGCCTCCCGTGTAGCTGGGACTACAGGCGCGCGCCACCATGCCCGGCTAATTTTTGCATTTTTAGTAGAGACGGGGTTTCACCGTGTTAGCCAGGATGGTCTCGATCTCCTGACCTCGTGATCCGCCCGTCTCGGCCTCCCAAAGTGCTGGGATTACAGGCGTGAGCCACCGCGCCCGGCCCTGTGTCACATTTTAAAACAGTAAAATAAATTTTCAAAAAATATATTAAATAAAATCAAATATTTATCCAAAATATACAGAGAAAATGATTTTTCAGACTTAGGATCCATAAAATAAATAACACACACACAATACCCCGAGTTAGATTTAAGAACATAAAAATTTTAAACTTCTGTATGTAAAAAAAGGTGGAAAAATTTAAATAATTTGATACAGTACTTGTGGCAAACTTAGGAAAGTTAAATATCTTTCTAATACCAACAACCCTTATAATTTGATTTTTAAAACCCTATAGGCAAATTATATGTGTATCATTTGTATATAATTGTACACAAATATGTATATATCTGAGCTCCAAAATGAAGCCATTTGAAATTTTATATAAAATTTAGGAACAAATTAAGTAAATGTATGAAATAATTACCATTATTATGAATTTAAAAATGCAAATTAAAATGAGGTGGCATTTTTTTTGTACACATCATTAGCACTGGAAAAATTAGTGATGGTGCCAATTGTGTCAAGATGAAATCTCTTAGACATCATTTGTGTTTATGTAAATTATTATAATCATCTGGAAAAGCATAATTTATCAAGGATTGTGAAATGCTTACAACCTATGATAGAGTAAATGTATTTGCTAGAGTTTTTCTAGGAAATTAATTCAAAATATGAAAAAAAATTAGTATATAAAGATAATGATTTCAGCATAATTCATCATGGTAAACAATGGAAGGCAACCTAATAGTAGCAGTCAAGGGATGTTTGCACTATGAGTCGTTCAATTTCATTCACTAAATTAATGTTTTGAGTGATCACTATGGCATTGTATGTGTATGATATCACAAGATGGAAAATTATTTAACCACTAAATGATATTAGTGAGCCTATACAATTATATATATATAGCTTACAAAAGAAAATACTGTGGAAAAGGTAGAAAATTATTTGCACACTAAGATTAGATACTTATAAAATATGCATAGAAATATTCATATACATAATGATTATAGCTAGAGCCTGGTTTAACATCAACAGGAAAAATACTGGCTCAGAAAACACAAAAATACTAATACTGTTAATGTCAGGCTATAATGATTGTGAATGATTTTCCCCTCTCTTCTCTATGTTCTAGGGTGCTGCAATATTATTGTGTTATTCTATAATGGGAAACTTAATGAATAATAAAAATTACAAAGACCTAAATTTGCTTTTTGCTTCCATCTTGCAGTATATTCCCTTTCACACTCATTTTTGTAATATCTAACACAGTAGAATTCACTATTAAGACATAGGACATTTATTAAAAGGAAACAGATACTTAAACTCTTGTTTTTTAGATAAGTAATTTAACAGAGTCACAGATTTTTTTAACCTTCAAACGTGAAGGAAGAGGGCAGTACCAGTAAATTCTCTTTTTATATTACAAAACTAAGATCAAAATAAAATATACCTACCTGAAAAAACCTACATATATTTATATCTTATAGAAGGTGGAAAGGTATATACATTTAAATGAGCAAAAAGTTATTTAACAAGAAAACCAACCAAAGTTACAAACTTTTTAGAGCTTATTAAAGGCTGCTTTCACAGGACACAGTAGCAAGCTCTGAAGTTCAGGTGTTTTACAAGATTCCTTTTAAAGATATTTTTATTTTTTAAAGAGATTTTATTGTGTATATTTAAAGTATATAACACAATGTCATGAGGTACCTATAGATAGTAAAATGGTTACTATAGTGAAGTAAGTTAACATATCCATCATCTCGCATAGTTACCCATTTTTATTTGTTTTTGTGGCAAAAGCAGCTAAAATCTACTTATTTTGCAGGAATCCCAAATATAGTACAGTTTTATTAATTATAGTTCTCATGTACATTAGATCGCTGGAGTTGTTTATCCTACATATCTGCTACTTTATAATTTCTAACACACATATCCCCATCTCTACCTCCCCCATGCCCATGTTAACTACTGTTTTATTCTCTATCTCTGTATGTTTGACTCTCTCTCTCTCTCTCTCTCTCTTTAGATTCTACATAAAAGTGAAATCACGCAGTATTTGTCTTTCTGTGTCTGGGTTATTTCGCTTAGCAAAATGTGCTCCAGGTTCATCCATGTTGTGGCAAATGGCAGGATGTCTCTTTTCATAAAGGCTGAAAAATATTCCATTTACATTTATATTAGAATTTCTTTATCCATTATTTATCTGTTGACAGACACTCAGGTTGTTTCCACATCTTGGCTATTGTGAACAGTGCTGCAATACACGTGGTAGCACAAATGTCTTTATGGCATGGTGATTTCATTTCCTTTGGGTATATGCCTAGAAGAGAGGTTGCTGGGGCACGTGGTAGTTCTGTTTTTAGTATCTTTTTTTTTAAATATAGAGATGGGTTCCCATTATGTTGCCCAGGCTGGTCTTGAACTTGCAGCCTCAAGCAATCTTGCCACCTCGGCCTCCCAAAGTGCTGGAATTACAGGCGGGAACCAACACACCTGGCCTATTTTTAAATTTCTTTAGAACTTCCATATTATTTTCATAATGGGTTGCACCTATCTACATTCCCACCAAAAAAAAATATATTATTTTCCAGGATAAAATTTTTGGAGCAGAATAATATCTGCTTTTTGGTGGCTTTGGGGAAAAACAACTGTTTCCTTTTGATTTTGCTGATGGTATTTTCAGCAATATTAGGAGAGCAGTCTAGTTTCATTAACTAGCATCAAGAGTAAAAAGCTCAGTAATTACCATTTGCCATCTGTATATCTCCTTCAGTGAAGCGTCTGTTCAGAACTTTTTATCATGTGCAGCTGGGGATGTAGGAGGGTGTTGTTTGTTTATAGGTAAATGTCCTTTGTTGAATGTGGGTTTTATGAGTAGTAATTTTTTTTTCCCTAGTCTTTGGCTTGCCTTTTTGTAAGTGTCTTTCGAAGAGCAAAAGTTTTACATTTTTGTGATGTCCAATTTATTTAATTTTTTCTTTTATAGTTCCAACTTTTAGTGCTCCATTTAAGAAATCTTTGCCAAATCCAGGATCATTAAGATTTCCTCTTATGGTTGCTTTGAGCAGTTTGATGGTTTGTTAGGTTCATGATGTTGAGTTAATTACTGTATGTGCAGCAAAGTATCAAGATGTTTTTGTTATTGTTTAATTTAATTTATTTATTTATTTATTTATTTTTATAGTTGGCTATTCCATTGTTCCAGCACCTTTCATAGAAAAGATTATCCTTTTCTTCATTTAGGGGATTTGTCATTTCACCATTGCACTTTTGTCGAAAATCAATTGGTCATATATCTGTTGTGGCCTATTTCTGGACACTTTATTCTTTTCCATTGATCTAGATGTGTATTTGCACCAATACCATCAATACCATAGTTACTGTGCTTTGTAATAAACCTTGAAACCAGGTATTGTATGTCCTCCAACTTTTTATTTTTCAAAGTCGTTTTAGCTATTCTAGGGTCTATTGCATTTCCATGTACATTTTTAAATTAGCATGTTCGTTTCTAAAAAAAATTCTGCTAGAATTTTCATTACAATTTCATTGAATTTATCAATCAGTTTTGTGAGAATTGACTTATTAACAATACTGAATCTTCAAATCCAGGAATGCAGTATATCTCCCCATTTATTTATTTAGTTTATCTGTTTAGTTTCTCTCATTTCTTTACTGATGTTAGGTGGTTTCCGTCTTGCACACTTTTTTTCTCAAATTTATCCCTAAATATACTTTTAGTGCTATTATAAATAGTACTTTAAATTAAGTACATGAAAATATGTTCATCATTAGTCATTGGAAAAGGCAAATTAAAACCACAATTAGATACCACTCCATTAAGGTTTCTCAACCTCAGCACTGTTGACATTTTGAGCCTCAGAATATTTCCCTGGTTGCAGGGAAGTGGAGGTTGGGGGTGCTGTCTTGTGCATTGTAGGATGTTTGGCTGCATCCCTGGTCTCTAGCCACCAAATGGCAGTATTATTTCTTCCCTTCCTCAAATTGTAAAAACCAAAATGTCTCCAGATACTGCAAAATGTGCCCTAGGAGGCATATATTCACTAGCATGGTTAAAATTTTAAAAACTATTGACAAGACTATGGAGCAACTGGAACTCACACATGCTGCTGTTGAGAATGTAAAATAGTTACAACTACTTTGAAAACAGCTTGGCAGTTTCTTTTTTTAATTTTGCTTTTAATTGACAATAATTGTACACATTTATGGGGGTACACTGTGATGTTTTCATACATGTATGCATTCTGCAATGATGAAATTATGGTATTTAAAATATCACCTCACTTATTTATCATTTCTTTGTGGTAAGAATATTGAGAATCCTCTCTTCTAGTTATTTTGAAATACACATTATGATATTGTTACTATTGTCTTCCTACTATCCTGTAGAACACCAGAATTTATTCTTTCTAACTATAATTTTGTATTCATTGAACAATCTCTCCTCCCCCTTCCTTCTCCCCTCCCCAGCCTCTACAAACCACTATTCCACTCTGTACTTCTATGAGATTGGCTTTTTTAGATTCTACAAATAAGTGAACTCAGTGGTATTTGTCTTTCTGTGCCTGTCTTATTTCACTTAACATAATGTCTTCCAGGTTCATCCATGTTGCTGCTGCAAAATGACAGGATTACATTCTTTTTTATGGCTGAATAGTATTCCATGGGGGTGTGTTTGTGTATATCACATTTTCTATATATTTTCTATATATGATATATATTTCATATATATCATATGCAAAAATGGTATCATATATAAAATGTGATTATATATATTATATATTTATTGGTTTATGGCCACTTAGATTGATTTCATATCTTGGCTATTGTGAATAATGCTGTATTAAGCCTGGGAGTGCAGATATCTCTTCAACATACTGATTTTATTTACTTCGAAAAACACACAGTAGTGGAATTGCTGGATCATATGGTAGTTCCGTTTTCAATTTTTTGAGGAAACTCCCCATACTGCTTTCTATAATGGCTGTAGCAATCAAGATACATTTCCACCAACAGTCTGTAAGGTTCCTTTTCTTTCACATCCATACCAGCATTTGTTGATAATAACCATTCTAATTGGGATGAGATGGTATATCATTGTGGTTTTGATTTGCATTTTCCTGATGATTAGTGACGTTGCACATTTTAAAATATTTTTTGGCCGTTTGTATGTCTTCTTTTGAGAAATTTCTATTCACGTCCTTTGCCCAGTTTTTAATTGGATTATGGCAGTTTCTTAAAAAGTTAAGACTAAACCTACTACATAACCCAGCCATTCTTCTAGGTATTTACACAAGAGAAAAGAAATAACATGTCCAGGGAAATGTTCATGAATATTTGTTGCAGCTTTATTTAGCTGCAAATAGCCAAAAACTGGGAACAAATTCAAACATCTACCCACAGGTGAACAGATAAACACATTGTGGTATATCCATACAGAGGAATACTACTCAGCAATGAAAAGGAATGAACTGTTGACACAGACGACACCATGGATGAATCTCAGAATAAGTACACTGAGTGAAAGAAGCCAGACCATACATATTTTATGAATCTATGTATATAACATTCTAGAAAATGAAAACAAGAGGCTGAGGCAGAAGGATCACTAAAGACAGAAAGTCAAGGCTATAGTGAGGAAAGGGATAGATTAGGAAGAAGCAAAAGAGGAAACATTGGGGTGTAATGGATGTGCTAGTTATCATAATTCTGGTTATGGTTTTATGGGGATATATATAGTCCCATAATTTATATATATCCCCATAAAACCATAACCAGAATTATATATATGTTATATAATTTATACATGTAAAATATACATATAAACTTGTTAAGTTGTATACTTTTACTTTTTTGAGACAGAGTCTCGCTCTGTCACCCAGGCTGGAGTGCAGTGGTGTGATCTCGGCTCACTGCAACCTCAGCCTCCTGGGTTCTGCGATTCTCCTGCCTCAGCCTCCCGAGTAGCTGGGACCACAGGTGTGAGCCACCACAACCGGCTAATTTTTGTATTTTAGTAGAGACAGAGGTTTCATCATGTTTGGCCAGGCTGGTCTTGAGCTCCTGACCTCAAGTGATCCACCTGTCTTGGCCTCCTAAAGTGCTGGGATTACAGGTGTGAGCCACAGCGCCCGGCCTAAGTTGTGCACTTTAAATATATGTGGCTTTTTGGTACCAATTTTATCTCAATAACTATTTAGAAATTATAATATAGGAAAGAAATGGGTGGAGAGAACATTTTAATAAATAGAGAAAGGCTGTGTAATGGTCTGTATTTACACGGGATACTCATGACACTGATAGAAATCACAGTGGAATTCCCATATATCATCCAACTGTGAAAAAAAGGTTAATAATAATTCGAGCTCATTCCTGCTTCTGCTTTAAGAAACTTAGAAATGCAGCCTTCCTTCCTCCCCACTCCAGCAGTCATACTGGTGGCCGACTGTTTTCCTTTTAGACAAAGATGATTAGTCAGTTAAACATAACACATGATTTTAAATTAGAATATTCGGGAAAATGTTTATCTTCTTTCAGATAAACATTCAGTAATTTTTAAATGACATAAAACCATGTTAATGAAAAATAGGAGAGAAAAATTAACATCTCCCCACAGCCAAAAGATGCAGTGAATTACAGAATGTTCCTCTAGAAAGGTCTGGTCTTTCTTAAACATTTGGAATGATAGGAAGCAATATATGGCCTGTTGCTAAAGTAAATTTTTGGTGAATTTCTCTGATCACAAGCATTTCATAGATTCAGAATTAAATTCCTATGGTTATCACTGCCCCAAAATCAGACACCATTAATTACTATGAATAAATCTAGGGTCCCGACTTTTTCACTGTTTCTTTTTATCACTTTGGATGATAATACGGTCAGCAAGCCAGGAAGGAGCATGACTTGCAAGAAACCCCACATTTTAATTTAAAAAACAGTGATTTAAAAGGCATAAATCCCTTCGATATGAGAAAGGGAGGTATAAATGTATTGAAGATTTCAGACTTTTCAGGTAACAGTGTGATACCTTCAAATGATCAATAATTGTGTAATATAACTAATCCACCTCTACAGAGAGAAAAGAAGTGATGGTTCCTCCTGTTTGCTTTAGATTGTTCAGCCAGCAATATTGTGCTCCATTGGAGCTAACAGGCCATTCTCCATCTATCTGCATTCACAGCATTCTCAGGCTGAACTTTGCTTTGTTTTCCCTAGCCACTGCTTACACTACAGTTTTGTATGAAAAAGTATTAGTGAGTTACTGAACATTTCATTGTCTGCATGTAATGTGTGTACCTCTTGCATATATCTATGTATATATATAAATATAAACATACATGTATATATAAATATATGTATATATAAATATATATATATATAAAAAATAATTTTGAAGTGGTTTCTTTAATTCACCAGTGATCTGACTGGTAAATTAAAATGCAAAATCTGGTCTAGTCCAAAGCAATAAGAAACGTATAAGAGGTTTCTGTTTGTTTTAGCCAGGTTTTTGGAATGTTAAAATCCAAGACACCCTAAAGCCACATAGAGATGATTAGCACTTTGACCTCCTTTATCAGACCTTATCTAAGTCCCTTTGGGGAGCTCTCTGGGAATCTCATATCTGATCTGTGTTTGTGGAAACACAGATCAGATACAAGAACCTTACAAGAACCTCATGCCTCTTACTTGTGTAGAAAACCTTTCTTCTTTCTATGGTTAGCACCCAGACACTAACCTTGCAGTGTGTGATTCCTCTCCCCCACCACTCTCCCCCAGCCCACCTTAGTCTTCCTGAAATTCCCTAAGCAGAAGCTAATGAACAGCCCATCCAGTATGTGCCAATGAGTGTGTCAGGTAAGTGATGGGCTGGAAAAACAGTTTATCTTGGGTCAATGTCCTGCTGCTTGATTTACCTGGTTACACAGAGTTGCTGAGAGAAATGAAGAGTCGCCTTTACCGCTGGTTTTCTCTTTCCAGACGGATGTCTTAAAATGGGATCTCATCGTCTGCGCAGTGGTTGCTGTCCTCTCATTTGCAGTCAGCGCCAGCACTGTATTCCTGTCATTGCGAGTATGTATCCACCAACTTTGTACTCTTCCTGCCCCCTTATTCTCCTTAATAACAAAGCTGTCATGGAGCTACAGGGTATTGACAAGACACGTGAGCCAGAGAAAGAAAACAAAATGCCCGCTGAGAGGCTTAGGGAATGAATCCATGTACTGTGAACAGTTATGTCCAAGATGTGACTTGGTCCACATCACAGATAGGGTTCGATTGCTTTATCCTTACCCTTTCCTGCATCTGGGGAGCTGTTTTGTTTGCAAGAATGATGGCACATCTTGTGGAATCCACTGTGAGGACAGTTAATAGTCATATGGTGGGCTAACAGTGCTCTACTATGAATAGAGAAAAGAGGAGTCACCGTATCGGGGTGAGGCAGAGGTCACAGAGCCAAAAGGACTATGGGAAAAGGATTTTCAGTTAGAAAAACAAAGTGGGGAGCTCCAGATGGGATTCCTGGCTGTGGTCCTTCCAGACAGTTGCTTTCTCTATACAAAAATATTGTCCATCCATGAACTCCCCTTTTCATGAGGAAATGTCTGTGAGCTGCATGGGTTATTCTTCACCTCCTCATTGGAAAATTTTAAAAATGTATTCCAAGGGGCATAATTCTGTTGGCCTCTGTATTCCATAGGCTAGTTCTCCCTCACCCTCATAGTGGTTTCCAACACATGAACCAATTTCATGGTATAGAGAAGACATTTTCAGAGGCCTGAAACAAGAACTGAGTCTGGCTATCCGTTAAGAGGAAAAAGTGGAAGGACAGTGATGTTATGTATTATTCATGGGCATCCCTCTCCCCATCCTCTAGGCTAAGTAATGAGATTCTGCCCATTTTTATCGCAGCCATTTCTCAGCATCGTGCTGTTTGCCTTGGCTGGAGCCGTGGGGTTTGTAACACATTACGTGCTCCCTCAGCTCCGCAAGCATCATCCCTGGATGTGGATTTCACACCCCATTCTCAAAAACAAAGAGTATCATCAACGGGAAGTGAGAGGTTAGTAATATATCCCTCATTTAAAAAAAAAAAAAAGGAGGGGTAGGTATACATTAAACCGGAGAGCATGTGCAACAGTCTGAATGTACTTAATGCCACAGAACTGTACACTTGAAAATGGCAGATGGTACATTATGTGTATTTTACCACAATAAAAAAGAAAAAAGGAGAACGTGTACCTTAGAGTATATGGTATTTGTTCCCAGATATTCTAGCCAACCATAACAAGAAAGTTAAAGCCAGGTGAATCAGAAGAATGTTTTTTAAAAATATTAATTGGCTATTGGTATTGTGGAAAAATTATATCATTCACAGTTGAAGATTATGCTGTTCCCACAAAAACTGACTGGGGCCTAAGAAGAGCATCCCTTGACCATGCTCCCATCCTTCATGAAATGATGGGGATGGAGAAGGGCCTGACCAATAACTTTACACACTCCTGAACACTTGCATTTTCTTTAGCTTGCTTTGTTCATCTAGGCCTACACCTGTATCTACACGTGGTTGACTTGGCAATTTCCATGGGTGTCTCTGGCCATGATCATGTAATAGCCTGGTAATCACAACCATTTCACAGCCTTAGAGAAGAAATAGATTTCTTCTAGATAAGAAGTCTTCTAGAAATTTTTCTGCTAGATCTTTCCTTGCTCTGTAATTCCCTGTTCTGTGCTTGAATGGATGGAAGAAGACTGATTTATCCACAGTTTTAGACCCATCAAAGTTATTGCTCATAGATTATAACTGCTGTCTAATGCTGCTGATTCTGCACAGAGCTGTTTAGCCTATTGTAACTTCTCAGTTGTTAGCGAGTTATCTAATTGTCTATATGTCCAAGCATAAAGATAAGTGAGGGGCACCAAGGTTTGTGGACTTAAAGTACTGAACTCAGCCAAATTTGTCACCAGCAACTTCAGTAGACTGGTGTGACAAAAGGAAAAGGGGGAAAATAATTTTTAAAATAAATATGCAAGAGTCACTGAAGATGCTGTCCAGAATAGAGAGTGCTTCCATAAGGAACATCTCTGGGTGGGCACAAGGAGCCGCCTTAGTTAGAAACAGCCCAAGTAGAAAAACTGGCTTGTTCAGTGGAGAAAGATGGCCTCGTCGGGCTGCTGGGGTTTAGAAGTGCAGGGAGGGTAACTCAGACTTCTCTCCCCTTGGAGACTTACTCTTCCCACCTACAGAATCAGGAGCCAGCATAAAGATGGAGCTGCATAGTTTTAAACGTTCTGTACAATTCCGTGTACTACTGAAATGCAAATTATTATCAGTATTAGAAAAACTGAAAGAAGATAGACTCACAGAAGGTTCCATCTATAATGGTTTGTATATTTTAGTCCACTTGTAGAGGAAAGTCCCTACCCCAACAGGTGACTGCTTCTGGATACATAGAGGACCCTGATGAAAAAGACCAGTTTCTATAGAACTTCTGCAGCCTTCAGGTTATATTTCCCTTTCATTCAAAAACCTCTAGAAAGACTAAGTGTTGGTGAAATTAGTGGAGTGTTTTGGGGTTTGTTATTTTGACATTATTGTTAAGTTAGTTGATGAAGATTTGAAGTAAGAAGCTTTAACTGCATATCTATATCTATATTTATATCTGTACCTGTACCTGTACCAATACCTTTACCTATACATTTCCTTATATTTTTACTTTTGTCTATATCTATACCTTTACCTGTTTGTAACCTACACATTTGCCTATACCCATACCAATACTTACTTCTATACCTTTACCTTTACTTCTATATAACTTTATCTTTACCTATACCTGTACCTGTATCTATACCTTTACCTTTATCTATACCTATACCTTTATTTGTATCTATAACTTTCCCTGTACCAATGACTATACCTATACTTTTACCTTTACCTGTACCTATACCTGTGCCTTTCCCTATACCTATTCTTAAACTATGCCTATGCCCCTGTTAAATGTACATATTTAAATACCTTGGGGTGTGCAAAGAGAACCTGTGAAGCTGAAGGAAAGGAAAATGAGACAGATTAGACTTGGGCTTCCCTTAGTGTGTGGCAGTTCAGAGTGTAGAATTCAACAGTGAAAGATAGGAGTGGGCCATTAACAACTCGGTTTCTGGTTTTTTTGTTTTGTTTTGTTTTGTTTTTCTCTCCTGCATCTAAGACAGCCCCATTTAAATTAAAATCATTTAGCTATTTCAAGCCTACATGGCTCTTTTTAGTACAAGATTCAAGAACAAGTAAAGTGAGTGTGTTTGTGTTTCTGACTTCCCCTCTCGGAGGATGAGTGAGTGGGTGGCACAGAGTCCTTTTGTATCCCATAGAAGTAGGCTGGGAGGGGTCCACACTTGCTTACACAGTGTCAGGCAGAGGCTCTGTGCAAGTTTCTCACCTACCTACACTAGCTATTTATAAGCAGCCTGAAATCTAGCCGGGAGTCACAGGTTAGACAAATTAGGCACATGACGAAAAACAGATTCCATTTCAAAATTAGGTGTATTAGAAGGAAAACCCACAGACACAAAATTTAAAGATGATTTAAGCCCAGTTACCCATTCTGGTGCCATCTGTGTCCTGAATTTCCTTGCCTCTTCTTCCTGGACTTCTGCCTCTTAGGTTTTGACTCTTCATTTTTTTTCCACCAGCATCAAAACATGTACAGGTAACTCAGGCCAGGCACACAGCTTTTCATGTGAAAGTGATGCTCACATATTCTTTCTCATAGGAGCACAGAATATTGTCACTGGGAAAGAAGGCAGGGCAGAGCAGGACTAGCTAGTGTGTAGCCCACTGCTGGGACACAGTGGTTCCAGGGCAGACATCACTAACCAAGAACAGAGTCCTAGAACTGGGCTGGTGGCAGACATTTCTAATCAACTGGAACAGTAAGATAAGGCATATGTGCTGCCCCTGTCTTAGAGTTTATTATATAATCCTATCCCACCATTTTACATAGATGGAAACTGAAGCCTAGGGACAGAAACATAACTTGGGTCCCACTGATTTTGTGGCCAGTGAGTGACTGGAGCCCAGGTCATTTCACTACCCATGTTGCTCTCATTCTGGGTGGGCAATCATGTATAGACTGAATGTGGCTCTAAGGCTGTTTTTGCAATCATCACTACCCAGAAGAGCCATAAGGCTACAGTCACAGTAGGTCCTGTAAAGTTTGACATGCCATCTTCTCATGCTAACACTACCAGGCTTCCCTGATTTGATAGAGACTTTCCACAATCGATTCTAGGCATTCTTGTGGCTTCTCAAACACTCTGCTGTCCTTGCTCCTCCCTTTACTAAGGATGCCATTCCTCCAGCTTCACTAGACTGACACCAGGCTGCTCATGCTTCAAGTCTCTGCGTTTTTTGTTTGTTTGTTTGTTTGTTTTGAGACTGAATCTCACTCTATCACCCAGGCTGGAGGGCAGTGGTGCAATCTCGGCTCACTGCAACCTCTGCCTCCTGGGTTCAAGTGATTCTCCTGCCTCAGCCTCCTGAGTAGCTGGGATTACAGGTGCCCGCCACCACACCCGGCTAATTTTTGTATTTTTAGTAGAGATGGGGTTTCACCATGTTGGCCAGTCTGGTCTTGAACTCTTGACCTCAAGTGATCTGCCCGCCTTGGTCTCCCAAAGTGCTGGGATTACAAGCATGAGCCACCGTGCCCAGCCCACGTCTGTTTAAAATCGGCCCCTCCAGAGAAGTCTTGCCCCGACCACCTAAACCTGAATAGATTCCCCACTGCTCCCTGAGCCTCCCTTCCATAACCACTTGAAACCACTGGTGCCTAAGGTAGACTGAGCTCCATGTCAGCTAGCGCATACTCCTCCTCCAGTGCTCACGGCAGTGCTTGGGTGTAGAGAGGGAGGCTCACAAATGCTGAACTGCGTTTAATGTAACCATCATCACTTCACTCTGTAGTCGCTGGAACAAACTTTAAACTTGGTGCATATACTTCCTTTTGGCTTACTTTCCTTTCTGCATACTTTGAATATGTACTTCTACTTGGTAGAATGTGGAGATAACGAATAATTTTGGTATAAAATTCAGACTGTGATAAATGGAAATAGATATTATAACTGAAGTTGAAGACTGCATGTTGAAACATATCTTTTTTAGTCAATTTAATTCTTTACCTTTGAGACTAATTTATTGAAAGTAAATATTATCTCCTCCCAACCTTGATATGCTGTTTCACCAATATTTGAATTAGGAGAGTAAAATTCTATCACTTATAGTACAGTTCAGCATCAGATGAATCATGATGGTCATGGGGACACAACTGAGTTATATTAATGTGTATATGTGAAGTTGCTCTTTTAAAAAATTGCCATATTTCCCCCCAAGCTAAGTTAATCATGCTGAACATGAAGACAGCACAATAGGCAACTGCATATTATTCTAGCTTGGGGTTTTTGACACTAAATGTTAAAGGAGTACTCATATTTTTAGAAAATAAAGCAAATTAATTTTCCTGAATTATAATGATTCCAGACAAATGACTTTATTGATTGATCCCAGTCATAAAGAAGTACAAAGTTGGACCTGATTGAAAATTTGTTTTATCTTAAAACTTTCCAAAGGAATTATTTCAAAAAGCAAATATTGGGGTTGAGTCACATTTCACATGGTCCTCCAAGGTAATGTTTCCATAATATTATGATTCTTGGCTTTTAAGAATTAAAAATAGTGACCTGATTTGATGACTGTACTCTTACCATACAAATGGATTACAATGGAGTTAAAAGAGATTGAGACAAGGAATAAGTATGGTATTGAGATTCATTTATTTACTTGTTTATTCACATAGAAAATGCTTATGGATATACTAGTCACTCATTCAGAAAATAATTATTGAGTTCCTACAAGATGCCAAGCCCTGTGAACCAGTGACGTAGGAATGACTAAGATGTAGTTCCTGTCATCCAAAAGCTTATAATCTGGTAAATAAGCCTATGGCTGTGTCACCGTAGAATTGTGACTGCTACACACATACAGTAATGTGGGCCGTGACACTAGGTTCCGCCCTGCAGGAAAGACAAAGAAACAGTAGCTGGGCATGATGGTATGTGCCTGTAGTCCCAGCTACTTGGGAGGCTGAGGCAGGAAGATCACTCGAGCCCAGGAGTTAGAGGCTGTAGTGCACTATGATAGTGCCTATTGAATAGCCACCGCACTCTCGCACTTTAGCTGGAGCCCCATAACGAGTTTCTGTATCTTTTTTTTTTTTTTTTTTTTTGAGACGGAGTCTCACTCTGTTGCCCAGGCTGGAATGCAGTGGCTCGATCCCAGCTCACCCAACTTCCACCCTCTGGGTTCAAGCAATTCTCATGCCTCAGCTGCCCTACTAGCTGGAATTACAGGTGTGTGCTACTATACCCTGCTAATTTTTGTACTTTTAGTAGAGACAGGGTTTCACTATGTTGGCCAGGCTGGTCTCGAAATCCTGGTCTCAAGTGATCTGCCTGCCTCGGCCTCCCAAAGTGCTGGGATTATGGGCGTGAGCCACCGTGCCTGGCCAAGACTCTTTCTCTTAAAAAACAAAGTAAAAAGAAAGAAGTAAAAGGCTAATATCCTAAGTGAGGAGCTTACAATTAATTTCATGTATCATTGCTTAAATCTTTCCAACTTATTGATATGCATATAAAATGGAAAATATATGGAATTATATAATTAAATGTTGCGTTGATATCTGGTGCATGGCAGATAGTCAGTAAACATTGGAGGAGAAAATTAATGATTAATGCTTTGTAAATTCACTAAAGGAAGGTTTTCTATAGGCTGATAAGGGCATACAAAGCCTCTTGAAGTAAAGGGTAGTTTGGAGGATTCACATGTACCTCTGTGCCATACTGAAAAGCTTAAGCTATACTTTTTGGATGCATTAGAATACATTTAAAAGGATAATATACATTATAAAACACATAGGCCGGGCATGGTGGCCCACACCTGTAATCCCAGCACTTTGGGAGGCTGAGGTGGGTGGACCATGAGGTCAGGAGATCAAGACCATCCTGGCTAACACGGTGAAACCCTGTCTCTACTAAAAAATTACAAAAAATTAGTTCGACTTGGTGTTGCACGCCTGTAGTCCCAGCTACTCTGGAGGCTGAGGCAGGAGAATCGCTTGAACCCAGGAAGCAGAGGTTGCAGTGAGCCGAGACCACACCACTGTACTCCAGCCTGGGTGACAGAGCAAGATTCCCTCTCAAAAAATAAAACAAAACAAAACAAAAAAACACATCAATTAAACATCTATTTAAATTGTAATTTAAAAAAATCCACTATTACAAAACATTCACTAATGGGTCCCAAATTTGCAATTCTTAAATGAGATTTACTTTGCATTTTAGCAAATCTTGTCTCTCAGTTTACAGATAGACTAGTTTCTATGTGATGCACATGATTCTGAGAGCTCTTGCTTTTTATAATGTATTTTTCACTTATATCAAAATAATACATAGTATTAAAAATCAAATAGAACAAGT